>NC_000005.10:115867382-116170413 GCF_000001405.40 Homo sapiens | reverse complement strand
TTGGGCAGTATTTTCATTTTCACGATATTGATTCTTCCTATGCATGAGCATAGAATGTTTTTCATTTGTTTCTGTCCTCTCATTTCCTTGAGAAGTTGTTTGCAGTTCCCCTTGAAGAGGTCTTTCACATCCCTTGTAAGTTGTATTTCTAGATATTTTGTTCTCTCTGTAGCAATTGTGAATGGGAGTTTGCTCATGATTTGGCTCTCAGTTTGTCTATTATTGGTGTATAGGAATGCTTGTGATTTGTGCACACTGATTTTGTATCCTGAGACTTTGCTGAAGTTGCTTATCAGCTTAAGGAGATTTTGGGCTGAGACAATGTGGTTTCTAAATATACAATCATGTCATCTGCAAAAAGAGACAATTTTACTTCCTCTCTTCCTATTTGAATACCCTTTATTTTTTTCTCTTCCCTGATTGCCCTGGCCAGGGCTTCCCATACTATGATGAATAGGGGTGGTGAGAGAGGGCATCGCTGTCTTCTGCCGGTTTTCAAAGAAAATACTTCCAGCTTTTGCCCATTCAGTATGATATTGGCTGTGGGTATGTCATAAATAGCTCTTATTATTTTGAGATACGTCCCATCAGTACCTAGTTTATTGAGTGTTTTTAGCATGAAGAGGTGCTGAATTTTATCGAAGGCCTTTTCTACATCTATTGAGATAATAATGTGGTTTTTGTCATTGGTTCTGTTTACGCAATGGATCACGTTTATTCATTTGCATATGTTGAACCAGCCTTGCATCCCAGGGATGAAGCTGACTTGATCATGGTGGATAAGCTATTTGATATGCTGCTGGATTCAGTTTGCCAGTATTTTATTGGGATTTTCACATCAATGTTCATCAGGGATGTTGGCCTGACATTTTCTTTTTTTGTTGTGTCTCTGCCAGGTTTTGGTATCAGGATAATGCTGGCCTCTTAAATGAATTAGGGAGGAGTCCCTCTTTTTCTATTGTTCAGAATAGTTTCCGAAGGAAACTCCTCTTTGTATCTCTGGTAGAATTCAGCTATGAATCTGTGTGGTCCTGGGCTTTTTTTTGGTTGGTAGCCCATTAATTATTGACTCAATTTCAGAACTTGTTATTGGTCTATTCAGAGATTCATCTTATTCCTGGTTTAGTCTTGGGAGGTGTATGTGTACAGGAATGTATCCATTTCTTCCAGATTTTCTAGTTTATTTGTATAGAGGTGTTTATAGTATTCTCTGATGGTAGTTTGTATTTCTGTGGGATCAGTGGTGATATCCCCTTTATCATTTTTTATTGTGTCTATTTAATTCTTCTCTCTTTTCTTCTTTATTAGTGTGGCTAGAGGTCTATTTTGTTAATTCTTTTCAGAAAAACAGCTCCTGGATTCATTGATTTTTTTTTGAATGAATTTATTTTTTGAATTGGTTTTTCATGTCTCTATCTCCTTTCGTTCTACTCTGATCTTAGTTATTTCTTGTCTTCTGCTAGCTTTTGAATTTGTTTGCTCCTGCTTCTCTGGTTCTTTTAACTGTGATGGTAAGGTGTCAATTTTAGATCTTTCCCGCTTTCTCCTGTGGGCAGTTAGTGCTATAAATTTCCCTCTACACACTGCTTTAGCTGTGTCCCAGAGATTCTGGTACATTGTGTCTTTGTTCTCATTGGTTTCAAAGAACTTTTTATTTCTGCCTTCATTTCGTTATTTACCCAGTAGTCATTCAGCAGCAGGTTGTTCAGTTTCCATGTATTTGTGTGGTTTTGAGTGAGTTTCTTAATCTTGAGTTCTAATTTGATTGCACTGTGGTCTGAGAGTCTGTTATGATTTCCATTCTTTTGCATTTGCTGAGGACTGTTTTACTTCCAATTATGTGGTCAATTTTAGAATAAGTGCGGGATGCAGTGCTGAGAAGAATATATACTCTGTTGATTGGGGTGGAGAGTTCTGTAGATGTCTATTAGGTCTGCTTGGTCCAGCGCTGAGTTCAAGTCCTAAGTATCCTTATTAATTTTTTGTCCCATTGATCTAATATCGAAAGTGTGGTGTTAAAGTCTCCCACTATTATTGTGTGTGAGTCTAAGTCTCTTCATAGGTCTCTAAGAACTTGCTTTATGAATCTGGGTGCTCCTGTATTGCGTGCATATATATTTAAGAAAGTTAGCTCTTCTTGTTGCACTGATCCCTTTATCATTATGTAATGCCCTTCTTTGTCTTTTTTGATCTTTGTTGCTTTAAAGTCTGTTTTATCTGACACTAGGACTGCAATCCCTTTTTTTTTTTTTTTTGCTTTCCATTTTCTTTGTAAATATTCCTCCATCCATTTGTTTTGAGCCTATGTGTGTCTTTGCACACGAGATGGGTCTCCTGAATACAGCACACCAATGGGTCTTGACTCTATCCAATTTACCAGTGTGTGTCTTTTAATTGGGGCATTTAGTCCATTTACATTTAAGTTTAATTATTGTTTCATGTGAATTTGATCCTGTTATTATGACAGTAGCTGGTTATTTTGCCTGTTAGTTGATGCAGTTTCTTCATAGTGTCGATGGTCTTTACAATTTTGTATGTTTTTGCAGTGGCTGGTACCAGTTTTTCCTTTCCATATTTAGTGTTTCCTTCAGGAGCTCTTGTAAGGCAGCCCTGGTGGTAACAAAATCCCTTAGTATCTGGTTGTCTGTAAAGGATTTTATTTCTCCTTCACTTATGGAATTTAGCTAGGTTGGATAGGAAATTCTGGGTTGAAAATTCTTTTCTTTAAGAGTGTTGAATATTGGCCCCCACTCTCTTCTGGCTTGTAGGGTTTCTGCCGAGAGATCCGCTGTTAGTCTGATGGGCTTCCCTGACCTGTCTCTCTGGCTGCCCTTAACATTTTTTCCGTCATGTCCACCTTGGTGAATCTGATGATTATGTGTCTTGGGGTTGCTCTTCTCGAGGAGTATCTTTGTGGTGTTCTCTGTATTTCCTGAATTTGAATGTTGTCCTGTCTTGCTAGGTTGGGGAAGTCCTTCTGGATAACATCCTGAAGAGTGTTTTCCAACTTGGTTCCATTCTCCCCATCACTTTCAGGTACACCAATCAAACACAGGTTTGGTCTTTTCACATAGTCCCATATTTCCTGGAGGCTTTGTTCATTCCTTTTCATTCTTTTTTCTCTATTCTTGCCTTCATGCTTTACTTCATTAAGTTGATATTCAATCTGATATCCTTACTTCTGCTTGATTCAGCTATTGACACTTGTGTAGGCTGCATGAAGTTCTTGTGCTGTGTTTTTCAGCTCCATCAGCTCATTTATGTTCTTCTCTAAACTGGTTATTTTAATTAGCAATTCCTGCAACCTTTTTTCAAGGTTCTTAGCTTCCCTGCATTGGATTAGAACATGCTCCTTTAGCTCGGAGAAGTTTGTTATAACCCATTTTCTGAAGCCCACTTCTGTCAATTCGTCAAACTCATTCTCCAACCAGTTATGTTCCCTTGCTGGTGAGGAACTGTGATCCTTTGGAGGAGAATGGGCATTCTGGTTTAGGGAATTTTCAGCCTTTCTGCATTGGTTTTTTTCCTCATCTTCATGGATTTATCTACCTTTGGTCTTTGATGTTGGTGACCTTCGGATGGGGTTTTTGTGTGGATGTCCGTTTTGTTGATGTTGATTCTATTCCTTTCTCTGTTTGTTAGTTTTCTTTCTAACAGTCAGGCCCCTCTGCTGCAAGTCTGCTGGAGTTTGCTGGAGGTCCACTCCAGACCCTGTTTGCCTGGGTATCACCAGAGGAGGCTGCAAAACAGCAAAGATTGCTGCCTGTTCCTTCCTCTGGAAGTTTCGTCTCAGAGGAGCACCCGCCAGATGTCAGCTGGAGCTCTCCTGTATGAGATGCCTGTCAACCCCTGCTGGGAGGTGTCACCCCATCAGGAGGCACGGGGGCCGGGGACCCACTTGAGGAGGCAGTCTGTCCCTTAACAGAGCTTGAGGGCTAAACGCACAGCATTTCAATTTATTAGATGGTACAATTTATTTCAATGCATTACATGGTGCAAATAAAACTTGCCAGAACTTCCCCTAGAGTGCTTGTCTATGGAGAATTCCAATTATCCTGAAAAAAATGGGTATGTCTGGCTACTTAGAGTCTTATACTTGTAATTAGAAGATCTGGATTCAAGTCCTTAAGCTCTACAAATAATAGAAAAAGGAACATTGTACATTTTTATAAAAAACAATCTTTGCATCTTATGGTTCAAAATATATTTTCCCTTAAATTATGACCAGTAACAACTCTGAGGAACAACTATCGCCATTTGACAGAGAAATGGACTCAAGTCCATGTGCCAAGGACTAAAACTATAGAAATATTTAAACATGCAAGCTCTTTCGGCCATAGAATGTCTAGGTATGCCACAAGCAATACAGGATAGTTGAGGATGACACTCTTAGTGAGTCTGCCACCATAGCTGACCCACCTCAATTCATGTTACCAAATGTGATTTGACTAAAAAAGGGTAAGATGAACCACCCTCTCAGGGGCAGATAAAGGGTAATCAAGTATTATTAACTGAATTCTTGTATACCCCAAAATTCATGTTATAGCCCTAAACAGCAGTGTAGTTGCATTTGGAGATGGGGCCTCTAAGGAAGTATTTAAGGTTAAATTAGGTCACAAGGGTACAGCACTGATCTGTTAGGATGAGTGCCTTTATAAGAAGAGACACCATCTCTCTGAAGACTAGATTAGAAAATAACAAGGTAAGAAAAAAGAAAAAGAAACAATAAGAGACACCAGAGAGCTCACTCTCTACCAGCCCTGTGCACACGCGTGTGTGTGCGCACAAACACACACACAGATACACCCACACACACACACACCCTTAGGAAAGATCATGTGAAGACAAGGCAGACAGGCATCTACAAGCTAGAAAGACAGCCCTCACCAGAAACCAAATTTGCCAAGACCTTGATTTTAAACTTTCTTCCAGAACTGTGAGAAATAAATGTCTGTTTTTCAAACTACCCACCCTGTGATATTTTGTTTTGGCAGCCCTAGCAGACTAATACACCAAGTACATAAGATGTATGTGAGTGGCTATTAATTTGTAATAAGAAATTACAATTACCAAAAATACTCCTTAAATACAATTACCAAAAATATGCATTATCAGAGCTGTGTTTCAAGCAAAGCATGAAAGCCAGGAGAACTCGATTAAGGGGATATTTTAAATAGCCTGAGGTATGCTTTTCACCATAGGCACTCCCTCATCAATGGAACCAGATAATTCAGACTTTTCTCATTTTAATTCCTTTTCATTGCTCAATGACAATTCTCATCTTAGTCTCAGAGATTCTCTTCAGGCCTCAACAGCATAAGGATATGTCAGAAACTTGAGAGGGATATACACTTTACTTAAATAAGTTTAAAAAATTAGAAAAGCTGTAAGCTACAGACTGAGATCAATACTGACTTTATCACTGACTTTTCATGTCTTGGCCATGATTCATTCTGTGTAAATCCAAGTCTTCATGGGTACTTTAGTCTGCAAGGACTTCAGACAAATTCCAGGGCTCAGGCTATACCTCCTCTTCATCCTCCTTGCCAAGGGCACATTATAGCTTATTAAGTGGCAGTACATAAAATATCATATTTGAGCTGTGCAACACAACCCCCCTAAGAACATTATAAATTTTTCCCCCAAAATTTTGCAACTAACTCTTAGTTAAGTGGTGATACCCAGATCCACACTCTTTTTACTATTTCAGATATTATTATGAGTAAATACATGAAGTAATCCAGAATTTCCTTGAAATAAAGATACATGTGGTCATTTGTAAACTACAAGTTGGCTTTTATAATTAGGGTTTTAAAAAGTAACTGAAAATAGACAGTTACTAAAATAGACAGTTACTGTTCTTGCTTAACATTTTTATTTCATTAGCAGTAATGGCATGAACATTTGACAACAAAGGCATGCTCACTGAGAAGACTTCTCTAAACCAATGAAAAATTAATTATAGAATTACCTAACCTTTGTGTGAACAACTGTCAATTACCCCCACTTATTTGGAGGTAGGGGAAAAATTAACCAGAAATACAAAATAGAAATTAATCCAGAGTGGTTTTTTATTTTATTTTTATTTTTTTTGAGACCGAGTTTCACTGTGTTGCCCAGGCTGGAGTGCAGTGGCCCAATCTCGGCTCACTGCAAACTCCTCCTCCTGGGTTCAAGCAGTTCTCCTGCCTCAGCCTCCTGGGTAGCTGGGATTATAGGCGTGCGCCACCATACCCAGCTAATTTTCTTTTGTATTCTTAGTAGAGGCAGGGTTTTACCATGTTTGCAGAGCTAGTCCAGAACTCCTGACGTCAGGTGATCCGCCCTCCTTAGCTTCCCAAAATGCTGGGATTACAGACGTGAGCCACCAGGCCTGGCCTCAGAGTGTTATATTGACTAAGGAAAATAGTTACACAAAGTATTTCCATCACCCCTTTGTAGATAAACCTGTAACTTCAATGGGAAAGGGTAGAAAAAGGGTAGAAACTACGTTTATTTACTCATATACAAGACAAAACCAAAAATATACATAAATTTCACACAAATGGAAACTGGGTAGCTTTTCCCTTGAACATCATTCAATTTAAAAAATTAAAAAAGACATATAATTTCATCTTTACTCAAAAGCATAGAAAGTATTCTAAACAAAAAGTGGTTTAAGAAGACATAACTTAGTGCTTTATAATAAAAGAATAATCTCTGACTAATTCAATAATGCCATACCATAAAATTAACCCTATATACTATAAACTATTCACAAAATCATCAAGATAGTTTCCTTGTGTTGAGTTTTTGGTTTATTTTATTTTATTTTTATTTTTTTGGAGACAGAGTGTTGCTATTGTTGCCCAGGCTGGAGCGCGATGGTGCAATCTTGGCTCACCGAAACCTCTACTTCCCGGGTGCAAGTGATTCCCTGCCTCAGCCTCCTGAGTAGCTGGGATTACAGGCATCCGCCACCAAGCCTGGCTTTTTTTTTTTTTTTTTTTTAAGTAGAGGTGGGGTTTCACCATGTTGGCCAGGCTAGTCTCCAACTCCTGACCTCGGGTGATCCACCTGCCTCGGCCTCCCAAAGTGCTGGAAGTACAGGAGTGAGCTACCATGCCTGGCCCTGGTTTATCTTTTTTTAAATTATAAGACATTTTCAAGAAGAAAACGCCAATACTTTTTTTAATTACAAAGATGCTTTTAAAAATCTAAGATCCAGCTACTAGACACTAAGAAATACATTCTATCTTTTGATATTAAAAGTTATTTGTATATATCTAATGCTGAATTATCTAAAAATTACTCACTCTGGTAAAATAATTAGTATTTCCTTTAGCTTAGTCTTTAAGTCAAGACTCTTCTTATCTGAACCTCTAAAGAAGTGGTAAGGAGCCCCACAGGTGGCAGAGAGGTTTCTAGAAACTGAGAGAGGAGTATAAGCAGGACAAATTCTTAACAATGCCTGGCTCCTTCACTCCCATTCACCCAACAAGAGTTGCTCCATTTTTGTCAGATACATATTAGGGCTCTGAATATCTGATAATTTTTTAAAAAGGTGTTGTATCTAAAATAGTTCCAAAACTACTACTCTGAAGTAGACCCTAGAAGGTGTTCTGTGCGATAACCCAACACTGATGGAGACATTTACCACTATGTCTCTAAAACACTTAGGTTTCTCAACTTAATCTCACAAAATTGACCAAACAGTATACAAACTGTCCCTCTGGATAGAAAAGTACACACCTTTGTTGCTAATTATAGTGTTTTCTACAATTTAACGTTTTCAACCAAATTATTTCTAAATTGGTAAGCTCAGTTATAGAGAATGATAAATGATAAAAAGAGAAAATCTATTTATGTACATATATAGATATATCACTTATCTATATGTGCTACTATGTAGTAGCAGTCTTATTAAACAGTCACTGCCATGCCAATCTAAAATACCTGAGTGGGCAGCTATTATGCAACTTCTGTGTAACTGGAAACAAAATACCCACACTCACAAAGCTATCTATAAATTATTGTACTCATCTGTTTATAGCAAAAAAGATTTCATAAATTTAAATAGGTCAATGAAACTACTTAAGGTGCATGCTTGTAATTTTCATATTTTCTTGTACTGCAGTCTTATTAAACAGTCATTACCATGCCAATCCAAAATACCTGAGTGGGTAGCTATTATGCAACTTCTGTATAACTGGAAACAAAATACCCACACTCATAAAGCTATCTATAAATTATTGTACTTATCTATTTATAGCAAAAAAGATTTCACAAATTTAAATAGGTCAATGAATCTACTTAAGGGGCATGCTTATAATTTTCATATTTTCTTGTACTTTAAAATCAAATGAGGTCAACATATATTACAATCAGTCAAAAAGTGGCGAAAATAACCAATTTAAATGGGATGAAAATTGGACCATCATTAACATGAGGGAGAAAAACTTCTGGTTTCTCATTTTAAAAAAGACCATGCTGTAACTAGCAGCATATTTTCAGAAGATGATTTAAAAGCCCACAGAACATAGGTGTGCACTGCAGGGGTCCATTTATACGTGAGTTTATTTTTTCCATAAAAGTTATATGAAGTGCACCTGCCTCTCCTTCCACCTCCTCCGTCTATTCTCCCTCTGCCACCCCTGAGATGGCAAGAGCAACCCTTTCTCTTCTTCCTCCTATTCAACATGAAGATGATGAGGATGAAGATCTTTATGAAGATCTGCTTCTACTTTCACTTTATGAAGAAATAATATATTTTCTCTTCCTTATGATTTTCTTAATAACATTTTCTTTTCTCTAACTTACTCTATTGCTAAAATATAGTACATAATGCATATAATATATAAAATATGTGTTGACTGTTATTGGTAAGGCTTCTGGGTAACAGTAGGCAACTAGTAATAAAGGTCTCGGGGAGTCAAAAGTCATATGCTGATTTGTCACTGCACAGGGGCTGGTACCCCTAGACCCGGTATTGTTCAAGGGTCAACTGCACTTGTAACTTCACCTGAAATTCTCTCTATCCCCAACAACTTATAAGAAAAAGGAAGAAATACATTTATTCAGCTTCTATTATACAGCCGGCACTAAACCATTATATATCCATTATCTTAGTCAATTCTCACAACCACCCTAGGAGATAAGCATTCACATCCCCATTTTAAAGATGACGAAGATAAGAACAAAGCAGAGAAAGAATTTAAACCAGGTTTGCTGAATCCAAAGCCCATGATCCTTCTACATAATCAGTAGTTTTCAGACATTTAGATTTCACAGATCAGTACGATACACAGATACACATGCACATACACATATACCAAAAACAAACCAACCAACCGGCAGGCTTCATGGGCCCATAAATATTTTATTTCCCAAGAAATGAGATATTTTTTCAAAGCCCTACTATTTACCATCAGTATTATTTTTTTAAAAATGATATTAACATGAAAAAAATACCTGAAATTAAGAAAAAAGCCTTCTGGGGAAAAAAGCCTCATACCAATATTTTCAACACAGAATAGCACAGGTTCACCAACTGGCAAGGGAGAACAATTGTACTGAATCACACTGCTTCCCGTAACAGAGAGGCAGAAAACAGAACCTGAAACATTCTCCTACATCCTCTTCCTACTTTCATTACAGAGAATGCATGTTGCCTTAATTAAAGCCATGAGATTTCTGAAATTTTTATATGCCAAGGTTCTGATGACCAAGAAAATTATACAGGCTTTAAAAATAAAGAAGTTTCTAGTATCAGCAGATTGTTCATTTTCAATACAGGCATTACTTTGTACTTTCACAGATAGCAGTTCTTCCTTAGGCTTTTTCTTCAAATAAAATCTTTAGATCTGATGCAATCAAACCAGCTGTTAAAGAGTATAAATCTATTACCTTGTACCTAAGAGACTCATCCAACTTCAGTTGCATTCCTGTCTTTCTAGCTTTATCAATCACATTTAATTAAAAAGAGCATCTTGTCTTCTTCACATTTTAATACAGCACCTGATATTAGGATGCTAAGTTACTATGAGAAGGTCAGAATACAATGGATTTAGCTCATTGCCAAATGCAGGAACAAATTCATTAACAAATGAATTTGAGCTAAATTTTCAGAGTAAATTTATATTTTTTAAAAACTCATAGTTTGTCCTCAAAACAGTAACCTGCAGCAAAAGTTGTAACAATTCTGTAACACGTATATCTAAATACTCATTACAGTCTCTCCCATATCTCTATTTCTAGTTTCATTTACTCTTTAGGCAGAAAATAGGTTCAAGGGTCTAGTAAAGGAGGCAAATGGGCAGAAAACAACCTCTTGTTTGCTATCCCACTGCACTTGAAATGGACCTCTATAATTCACTACCATTTATAAGTGTCTCGCATATCAACATCACATTAGGTAATTTACTGCCTCCAATTCCTGGTCCATAACTATTCCATCCTGAAAAGTCATAATACAATGTTATTGGAACAATCTATTCATATTGTAAATGACATGTTTTCTAACTATTTTTTTAAGCCACTAGGGAGGAGAATTAAGCATTTTTCCAGGCAATACATTTAAGTTTCAATCTTAATAAATTTAGTCATTGTGTATACTCTTCCTTTTACCCAGACCATGCATTCCTTTTTTCACTTACTTTTTAAGGCCTAATTCAAAGATGTTTTCCTCTGTGGAGTCTTCTCTATGGATCTAGACAATATCAACCCCATGCATCTCTGCACTCAGCCTGTACTTGGAATAAACCTCCACAGTTCATTATCATGTACAAGCATCTAGTGTTTGGGGCACCACTTTAGGGGCTTAACACATTTCCCAATTAACTGCACTGCATACAAGCCTTTTTCTCTCACATCACTGACTTTGTCCAGAGCAGGAACCTTAATATCCTTTTTATCTGCTCAGCACCTAGCTCAGAACTTGGATAAAGAGTGACAGGAGGGACACTGCAAGTATTTGCAATGTATGTTCAGGAAAGGCCTCTCTCCAATGATACTTGAGTAGAGACCTAACAGAAGGGAAACAGCAATCCATGTGTATATCTAGGGAAGAAGCATTCTAGAGGAGGAAATGAAAAGTGCAAATGCCATGAGGCAAGAGCATTTTGGAGTGTCAGGAAAAACAAGGCAACTTCTATGGTCATAACAGAGTGGAGGGGCTGGGAAACAAGGTAAGAGGTGAAATCAAATAGGCAGCATGAGTTTAGATCATGTGGGTTCTTACAGGCCTTTGGGTTTCACTTTGAGTTATAAGGAAAGCCTGTAAAATATACAGAGCAAAGAAATAATCTGAATTATATTTTAAAAGTATGACTATTATGAGAACAACACACTATAGAAGACAAAGGTGGAAGCAGAGAGACTAGAGGCACAGATGACAGATTCATGTCAAATGTAAATGATTAGCCACAGGAGAAATAAAATTTCCTGGACTACATTAATGAACATGGTGACCTAGACCCTCTAGTCCCTGTGACAAGACTGAAAAAGATGTTAGCACCTGTTACTTGTCAAGCACAACAAAACTGTCAATAAATTAGTCTGACCTCAGGGGGGGAAAAAAAAAAACAACTGTTTGCAAGGCAAATGACATTACATAATGTACATTAATTCTTAAAGTTTTAGATGTGGATCCTCAAATCCATTAGATTAATGAAAGTCAAAACTACAAAGACAGGAATGAATTAGTCTTTCAGTAATAGGAGACTTTCACACTAAGGATTAAGTAAAAACACTTAAGAAAACATAATTTAAAATGAAAATTTTAAAAGTTTTGCTGTCCAAGCATGGCGGCCCATTCCTATAATCCCAGCACTTTGAGAGGCTTAAGCCAGAGGATCGCTTGAACCTAAGAGATCAAGGCTGCCGTTAGCTATGATCACGCCATTGCACTTCAGCCTGAGGGAGAAAGGGGGGGGAGGGGGAGAGAGGAGAGGGAGAGAGGGGAGAGGGAGAGAGGGGAGAGGGAGAGAGGGGAGAGGGAGAGAGGGGAGAGGGAGAGAGGGGAGAGGGAGAGAGGGGAGAGGGAGAGAGGGGAGAGGGAGAGAGGGGAGAGGGAGAGAGGGGAGAGGGAGAGAGGGGAGAGGGAGAGAGGGGAGAGGGAGAGAGGGGAGAGGGAGAGAGGGGAGGAGAGGGGAGACGGAGAGAGGGGAGACGGAGAGAGGGGAGACGGAGAGAGGGGAGACGGAGAGAGGGGAGACGGAGAGAGGGGAGACGGAGAGAGGGGAGACGGAGAGAGGGGAGACGGAGGGAGAGGAGGGAGGGAGGGGAAGGGAGGGAGGGGAAGGGAGGGAGGGAGGAAGGAATCTGCAGGCAGGCAGGCATCTGCTTGAAGGCCTTGGAGAGTTAACAAGTCATGATTTACAGGCCAGGATCTAGAAGAAATGGCAGCCCAAAAGGTAACACAGACTTTGGAGGCACACCTCCCCTTCCCTTTCACAAAAGTAGATATTCAAATGGTTGACTAAAAAAAAAAAAAAAGTAAAGGAAAGCCATCTTAGCAATTGAGACTATTAAAACCACAATAAAATACCACTAGACACCCACCAAAATAGCTAAAACTAAAAAGACTGTTACTAGCAGTTCTGGACATGATGTAGAACAATCACAACTTATATACACTGCTGGTGGGAGTATAAACTGTACAACTACTTTAAAATTAAACACATATATTTTGGTAAATTGCAAAAATGACTCCAATTCTTCACCTCTCACTATAAACATAACCTTTGAAGTGTGACTTTGCAGCATGTTCCATCAACAATTAGAATCTACTTCCCTATTCCTTAAATCTGGCCTATTCTTTCAAATTCCTTTGGCCAACAGAATATGATGAAAATAACGGTGTGCCTGTTCTGTACCAGATCTCCAAAGACCTATCCTACATCTTTTCTGCTGTCTCTGAACCAAGTGAACAGCCCAGGGTAACCTGCTAAATGATAACCGACATAAAGTCCACTCATCCCACTGATTAAAATCATCCCAAACTAGACCCGGCAAACTGCTGAAACATGAGCAAGTCAGCCTTGGATCAGCCAAGCCCAGCCAGCCAACTGCCTTGCCCACCTACAGACTTGTGAACAATAATAAATGGTTATTGTTTTAAACCACTACATTTTGAAATGGTATGTTATTAGCAATAGCTAACTGATGTTACCAAAGGTAAGGTCCTGCCACAATTTAAAAAAATAAAAATAAAATATGTAGTATTGGTTTTGGAGTTAAACAGTGGCCTTCAGCTTGAAAAACAGTGAGCAATCTATTAGGAAAAACTAGAAATTCATTAAAAAATTGTTATTGGTGGCTGAAAAAATAGGAACTTCTGATATGTAGCAACAAAAAATCGGCAAAATTGTGTTCCCTATAAAACTCAGAGGATGAAATATTTACTTAATAAACATTTGGATTTGCCTGAGATCTCTAGGCAGAAAACTGAAAATCAACTGGTTGTTCCTAACTGTACACCATAAGGCAATATGGCAACAAAGAGATGAGCTAAACAAACAACTGATCAGTTACAAGGAGAATTTAGAAAAAATAAAGGGGGCAAGGACTGTGCAGGGTTGGAAAATACAACTCTTCTCATCTCCAGTGTATAAGCTGGCAAAATAGTCTCCAAATACAATATAGTCTGGGACAGATCAAAGCAGAAGAGTAACTACAAAACCCTTTGTTAATGTCTCTAAAAGAATTATAAAGAACTTCTTCTAACTTGAGGGGGTTATGGAATTAGATTAAAGAATGCCTACAAAAATTCTAAGAGTTGTACTGGCCAAAGTGATACCACCTAGACTAAAAGAGATGGAAAGTATTCAAAATTCAAAAGGCCTTCAGGCCCCCAACTTTCTATAGATATGAAGTAGAACGAAAATGTTGCTTAAAGGGCATATTTTCCAGCTCAAATAATGGTGTTGTAAGAACCTGAGCATTTTAATTCTCCAGCCCCAATCTGGAAAGACCTCTTCAAGGAAATGAAGATATCAATGAATGAAACTGTACTGTAATAGATGCTTTTATATTTGCTGTCATATTTAATTTCCAGAAAAACCTTGTGAGGCACCTACTATTGTTCCAATTTTCAGATCAGAATTTGAGCCTCAATCAGTTAAGTAATCTGCTTGACATCCTCTAGCAACTTCCTAAGTGTCAAGACAGTGTGATAACAAACCCTGTACTGTTTTTACTACATACCAGTGCCACCACTGGTCCTTCACCTTATTCTCTATTATTTGTCAAAAATATAATACAGAGTTATTTTGGAACTGGATAGTAGGACAGCTTAACCCTTTATTTTGTACATAAATGCAGGAAGGCCAGGGAGGTGAAATGTTTTGGTCTCAGGGCACACAGCTATTTAGTAACAAAGTCTAAGCACTCTCTACATTATTATTAACATGAAGAAAAAAGAAACCACAAATAGTAATCCTCAGCTAGACTTTTTTAAATATAATAAACTTAACACTTCTCAAAAATTGTAGGACCTCAATTTGTTAAGATAATTGACTTCTATAATTTTCTCTTATATTAATAAATGTGATATATTAAATTTAATGGTTCTAAATGAGGAAAATTAATAGATAATTAATGCTCCTAATATAAAGGTAAACCCCTATTGTTTAAAGCAGTGTAAGTAAAGCCTACAAGAGTAGAAACTGTGGGAGGCAGTCATTCCTGAATCTAAATCTAATTAAAATAATTTGGCTGAAAGCAATAGAATCACAATCAACACATATGGAGGGGAAAAAACAACTATGTTAGAATTCTTCAAATTAGGCACTCATTAAACCAATATAGTCACATTCCTCACTTTGTCAATTTAAAAATTAGCAGCAATCATCTATACTATCCTCTCTTTTTCTTACCAGAATACACAGGATGTCTGTTTATCTACAAAATTTTTACAAAAATACATTTATCTAACAAATATAGAATATATATTTAAGAATCTTTTATCTCCCCTAACAGCCTCTGATGCTAAAATCAGTAGAAAATGGAAACAGACAGGAGACTTTCTTAATGAAAATAGTAGCGTTTTTAAATTCAAAGAAATGAGAATCTGAAGATTCTGATGGCATATATAAATAAAACATAAGGACAATGCACAAACAACCCAAGTCATCAGTTAATAGAAACTTCATATTTATGTGAATTTAACTATGATTCACTTGTATTAATTCAACTATAAACTCTGCAACCAGAAATAGAATAACTAAATAATGCAGACAATTAAGTCCACAATTCCCCTGAAAAAGTGTAAGCCCTAGAGTGACTGTGAGATGGAAAAGGTGAATCTGCTGTTTACTCAGTCAATGTATGCCAAGGTCTCATATGTTTCCAGGATCTCATGTGTGCTAAAGATGATACCAATGTTAAAAGATACATAAATGTATTCTGAGTGCTTAACTAAAGAAACAGCAACAGTTCCAACAAAACTGCTAAAGAAAAATAGCATAGCTATCATGGACTTATTTAGAAATGTTATACTGGGATCCAATGTGGTACTTTCCCAAAGCACTCCCGCTCCCTCTCAAGAACAGCCTTGTCTCTGAGATTATTACCTTTTGCACTAAAGTGAGACCCTAAATTCCATCCCTCCCTAAACGAGGTCCCACTGTATATTAAAAAAAAAAAAATGAAGGGCTATCACTCACTTTAAAATGTATGTGCAAAAAGAAAAAGAAAAAGAAAAGTAAGTTCTGTGGTCAAGGCTGGCAGAGATGAGGATTAAGGAAAACTGTGTGATGAATAAAGGTGGCCTATGTATACGACTTTGGGCCAACTTGCCATATAAATCACTTAATGTATAAGTCTTACCTAAACTATCTGAAAGAATTTTTATATCAGAGCTCCAAAGATTACCTGAAACTACTAGTAAACCAAACTTCTCCAAAAGGAGTACTGAAAATGAAAAGAACCCAGGTGAACAGCACTCTCAGAAAACAGGTCATGTTTGCCCTTTGTCAACTAACACAACTGACTGGTGGCCACATATTGCATTGCTCAGGAAATGTTTACACTTTTATGCAAGTAACTTTTATGCTATAACTTTTGACATCACTAACAATAAACTACCCAGTACAAATTTCAAGTTTTAAATCCAATATGAATATTTATATATCTCATCATCAATTAAACAATAGGAGAGAGAACTAGTTTAAAAATAAAAGTAACAAAATAACATTTCTTCTTCTTTCCATTTCTGAGTGAAATTATGCTTCCCAAGCCTAACTCACATTCTGGCACTGACAGAAAATGATAATGTTTACACTCTACAAAGCAGTTAAGTAATAACGCAGCTTGAGGCTGGGTGGCTGGGAACTCAGGTCCCCTCAGACACTGCCTGTCTGTTCCAAGGGCATATGAAGTCAATCAGTATCTCAGCTGACCTCTTGCCTACTTTTATTGTGGTTGAGTGGCTAAGCTCTAATAAAATCCAGTATGGATTCTATTTTATGCCCCTAAATTCTCTAATTCTCTAGTATTCTAAGTGCTCCATCACCCGTAAAGCCCCACCAGGAAAAAAACAGGAACAATTCTCAACCCAACCCTTTATCAAGGTCATTCTCTCACTCTTCACATTTGGCAAATGGAAATAAATCACCTACCCTGAGGAGGGTTTCATGGCTATCAAAACAAAATGTTTAAGAGCAAGATAAAGAATAGGGTTTATTAGAGAAGCCATGGCCCACACTTAAAACAGGTGGCAAACCAATCACTATAGAAGCAAAGTAGCTACTTTATTAAGCTGCAAATTATTTTCAGCCCTCTGGGCCAATAAAAGAAGTAACTCACTGCTTATTAATTGCAAAGCTCCAATGAGAAAAAAACATAAAAGCCCACAGAACAATACCTGGCACATATTAATTGGTCAATAAATGCTATCTATTATCATTATTGTCTTGATCATTTCAATATGGTGTTATCAGGTATGATGATTACTGTGTGCTCTGCAGCTATCAAGACCCTCAGCTTAGATCAGCCCCACCCATCCAGGCTGACTAGAATTCAAGGCAGCAGGCCCTTATCCACAGAAGAAACAATGAGGTAGCTTAGCCACTCACAAATTTTATATAATATTATGAAGAAATCAGATGCCCCCTCAGCCTCCAAATGAGCCTGACCCACACTTACCTCTTGACAGAAAATGTCCTCATGGGAAAGGCTTATATTTTTTCAGGAACGACTATTAATTAGACTCCATTTTAATTTGTATTTTTAAACTTATCCTGTATCTTAACCTATGTAAGATCTGTCCATCTCCAAAGATTATCACTTTTAGGAAACATATAGCCAAAATATATAGAATTAGGTAGCACTATTTTATTCATAAAGGTCATTCATGTGTAGTGTCGAAAAGATGCACAAATATGCTATTATGTAGTAGCAGTCTTATTATTAAACAGTTACTACCATGCCAATCTAAAATACCTGAGTGGGTAGCTATTATGCAACTTCTGTATAGCTGGAAACAAAATACCCACTCACAAAGCTACCTATAAATTATTGTACTCATCTGTTTATAGCAAAAAAAGATTTCACAAATTAAAATAGGTCAATGAAACTACTTAAAGTTTATGCTTATAATTCTCATATTTTCTTATACTTTAGAATCAAATGAGGTCAACACATAATTACAATCAGTAAAAAAGTGGCAAAAATAACCAAAGGAAAATGGGGATGAAAATTGGACCATCCCTTAACATGAAGGAGAAAAACTTCTGGTTTCTCATTTTAAAAAAAGACCATGCTGTAACTAGCAGCATATTTTTAAAAGATGTTTTATTCTCTTATTCTAAAACTGACAATTAAATAACACCATTCACTTCCTCTTTTAACAAAAAATAATGATTACTCTATGCTTGCCTCAATGGGGTGTTTTGAGGCTATTTGTAGACTTTTGAGTCCTATAGCTGAAAGCTACTAAGTAAATACAAAGTATTAAAATTGAGGATGATGATATAGTAGCCAGATTTTTTATCTACATTTACAGTTGGCACACTGCCATACTATCCCTGTGGATTTCTTCTTTCACAGCTCATACTCTCTGAAAGGTCACTGTGAAAAAAAATCCCACAGGGAGAGAGTTCAAGTAGCCTACAATAGAATATTAGTAATTAAGGAAGTGGTATTCTTCTTCTATATTCATTTAAGTAAAGCTCTCCTCAGCAAATGTAAAAGAACACAAATTATAACAAACTGTCTCTCAGACCACAGTGCAATCAAACTAGAACTCAGGATTAAGAAACTCACTCAAAACCACTCAACTACATGGAAACTGAACAACTTGCTCCTGAATGACTACTGGGTACATAACAAAATGAAGGCAGAAATAAAGATGTTCTTTTGAACCAATGAGAACAAAGACACAACATACCAGAATCTCTGGGACACATTCAAAGCAGTGTGTAGAGGGAAATTTATAGCACTAAATACCCACAAGAGAAAGCAGGAAAGATCAAAAACTGACACCCTAACATCACAATTAAAACAACTAGAAAAGCAAGAGCAAACATATTCCAAAGCTAGCAGAAGGCAAGAAATAACTAAAATCAGAGCAGAACTGAAGGAAATACAGACACAAAAAACCCTTCAAAAAATTAATGAATCCAGGAACTGGTTTTTTGAAAGGATCAACAAAATTGATAGACCATTAGCAAGACTAATAAAGAAGAAAAGAGAGAAGAATCAAATAGACACAACAAAAATGATAAAGGGGATATCACCACCGATCCCACAGAAATACAAAGTACCATCAGAGAATACTACGAACACCTCTATGCAAATAAACTAGAAAATGTAAAAGAAATGGATAAATTCCTCGACACATATACACTCCCAAGATTAAACCAGGAAGAAGTTGACTCTCTGAATAGACCAATAACAGGCTCTGAAATTGTGGCAATAATCAATAGCTTACCAACCAAAGAGTCCAGGACCAGATGGATTCACAGCCGAATTCTACCAGAGGTACGAGGAGGAACTGGTACCACTCCTTCTGAAACTATTCCAATCAATAGAAAAAGAGGGAATCCTCCCTAACTCATTTTATGAGGCCAGCATCATCCTGATACCAAAGCTGGGCAGAGACACAACCAAAAAAGAGAATTTTAGACCAATATGCTTGATGAACATTGATGCAAAAATCCTCAATAAAATACTGGCAAACCAAATCCAGCAGCACATCAAAAAGCTTATCCACCATGAACAAGTGGGCTTCATCCCTGGGATGCAAGGCTGGTTCAATATACGCAAATCAATAAATGTAATCCAGCATATAAACAGAAGCAAAAACAAAAACCACATGATTATCTCAATAGATGCAGAAAAGGCCTTTGACAAAATTCAACAACGCTTCATGCCAAAAACTCTCAATAAATTAGGTATTGATGGGACGTATTTCAAAATAATAAGAGCTATCTATGACAAACCCACAGCCAATATCATACCTGAATGGGCAAAAACTGGAAGCTTTCACTTTGAACACTAGCACAAGACAGGGATGCCCTCTCTCACCACTCCTATTCAACATAGTGTTGGAAGTTCTGGCCAGGGCAATTAGGCAGGAGAAGGAAATAAAGGGTATTCAATTAGGAAAAGAGGAAGTCAAATTGTCCCTGTTTGCAGATGACATGATTGTATATCTAGAAAACCCCACTGTCTCAGCCCAAAATCTCCTTAAGCTGATAAGCAACTTCAGCAAAGTCTCAGGATACAAAATCAATGTACAAAAATCACAAGCATTCTTATACACCAATAACAGACAAACAGAGAGCCAAATCATGAGTGAACTCCCATTCACAATTGCTTCAAAGAGAATAAAATACCTAGGAATGCAACTTACAAGGGATGTGAAGGACCTCTTCAAGGAGAACTACAAACCACTGCTCAACGAAATAAAAGAGGATACAAACAAATGGAAGAACATTCCATGCTCATGGGTAGGAAGAATCAATATCATGAAAATAGCCATACTTCCCAAGGTAATTTATACATTCAATGCCATCCCCATCAAGCTACCAGTGACTTTCTTCACAGAATTGGAAAAAACTACTTTAAAGTTCATATGGAACCAAAAAAGAGCCCGCATTGCCAAGTCAATCCTAAGCAAAAAGAAAAAAGCTGGAGGCATCACACTACCTGACTTCAAACTATACTACAAGGCTACAGTAACCAAAACAGCATGGTACTGGTACCAAAACAGAGATATAGATCAATGGAACAGAACAGAGCCCTCAGAAGTAACACTGCATAGCTACAACTATCTGATCTTTGACAAACCTGACAAAAACAAGAAATGGGGAAAGTATTCCCTATTTAATAAATGGTGCTGGGGAAACTGGCTAGCCATATGTAGAAAGCTGAAAATGGATCCCTTCCTTACACCTTATACAAAAATTAATTCAAGATGGATTAAAGACTTAAACGTTAGACCTAAAACCATAAAAACCTTAGAAGAAAACCTAGGCAATACCATTCAGGACATAGGCATGGGCAACGACTTCATGTCTAAAACACCAAAAGCAATGGCAACAAAAGACAAAATTGACAAATGGGATCTAATTAAACTAAAGAGCTTCTGCACAGCAAAAGAAACTACCATCAGAGTGAACAGGCAACCTACAAAATGGGAGAAAATTTTCGCAACCTACTCATCTGACAAAGGGCTAATATCCAGAATCTACAATGAACTCAAACAAATTTACAAGAAAAAAACAAACAACCCCATCAAAAAGTGGGCAAAGGACATGAACAGACACTTCTCAAAAGAAGACATTTATGCAGCCAAAACACACATGAAAAAATGCTCACCATCACTGGCCATCAGACAAATGCAAATCAAAACCACAATGAGATACCATCTCACACCGGTTAGAATGGCAATCATTAAAAAGTCAGGAAACAACAGGTGCTGGAGAGCATGTGGAGAAATAGGAACACTTTTACACTGTTGGTGGGACTGTAAACTAGTTCAACCATTGTGGAAGTCTGTGTGGCGATTCCTCAGGGATCTAGAACTAGAAATACCATTTGACCCAGCCATCCCACTACTCGGTATATACCCAAAGGACTATAAATCATGCTACTATAAAGACACACACACACGTATGTTTATTGCGGCACTATTCACAATAGCAAAGACTTAGAACCAACCCAAATGTCCAACAATGATAGACTGGATTAAGAAAATGTGTCACATATATACCATGGAATACTACGCAGCCATAAAAAATGATGAGTTCATGTCCTTTGTAGGGACATGGATGAAATTGGATATCATCATTCTCAGTAAACTATCGCAAGAACAAAAAACCAAACACCGCATATTCTCACTATGTCATAGGTGGGAATTGAACAATGAGAACACATGGACACAGGAAGGGGAATATCACACTCTGGGGACTGCTGTGGGGTGGGGGGAGGGGGGAGGGATAGCTTTAGGAGATATACCTAATGCTACATGATGAGTTATTGGGTGCAACACATCAGCATGGCACATGTATACATATGTAACTAACCTGCGCATTGTGCACATGTACCCTAAAACTTAAAACTTAAAGTATAATAATAATAAAATACAAAAAAACAAATACAAATCCCATAATATATGTAATTTTAAAATGTGTTCTCCCATTCTTCAGGTTGTCCTTTCAATTTCTTGACAATGTTCTTTGATACACAAAAGTTTTCAATTTTAATGAAGTTCAATTTATCTTTTCTCTTTGATTGCTCATGCTTTTGGTGTCATATTAAGAATCCATTGTCAGAAAAGAAAAAAAAAAGAATCCATTGACAAATCCACTTAAGATCCCTTTCGGCTAGAAAATTCCACCAGCCTTTGCTGATTCCATAAATGAAGTTGTACCTAGACAATTCTGGTCATTTTACTGTTGACAACAACAAAGGTGTTATCCTGGGATATTTATGGTACTGCTCTCACCAAGGAGGTAGCAGCACATTAAATATGGGTAAAATTACCCCTTTATAATGGATAGGGTAGAACTTCTTTATGTCTGAAAGAAACTTCGTATCTACTCTATCATAAAGAAGAAGCCAAGAGGGGGAAAGAGAAAGAGAGGAAGAAAGGGAAGGAGCAAAATCTCATGGTTTAGAAACCTCATGAATTAACAAACACACATATAGTTTTAAAAGACATTCTAAACTATATGTCTAAACATGTTAATCCCTGAAAAAGGAAGTCTCTCAGCAATAAAAATCTAATATTTTAGCAATTACTAGAATTCCAACAGAATTTACATGAATAGAATTTCTAAAATCTTCTTGATCACTTTAGTCAACATGTTAGTATATAGTATTTTAAATATGGCTTTAAAGGCAAATGTACTGCTGAAGGA
The DNA here is from genome assembly GCF_000001405.40 of Homo sapiens. NCBI lineage: Eukaryota > Metazoa > Chordata > Mammalia > Primates > Hominidae > Homo > Homo sapiens. The sequence goes on along the minus strand of NC_000005.10, from coordinate 116,148,067 downwards.
CTATTTGAATAAATAAATTATATTTACCAAAAAAAGAAATAAGAAATGGAACATACAAACAACAGAATCCTATGTAGTCATTTAAAATGATGTTGCTGAGTAGAAGCTCATGTACTGACAATAAAAGATGTTGTTTACAATATAATGCTTTATGGGGAAAGACAACTAGTTTACAATGGACAGACTTGGAAAGATATATGCCAATTAAATACGTCACTCAAAGTGATTACCTCTAGGTAGGATTCTAGGTGAATTTTATTTTCTTACATTTTTTTATTTTTCCTCAATGTAAATTACTTGTGTAATTTTTAAAAAGTATAAAATAATTTTTTAAAAGACAAAATCAAGGTTCTTTAAACATGAAATAAACAAGAATTTCTTTCTACACATTCATTTTCCATTACATTTCATCTTCACCCATTACATGTCATTTGTGAAATACATGTTTTGGTTAACCAGCCGCAACAATCACAACATACAGTTTCACTGATGTCATAATAGCAGTTACTGACTATAAGCAAAATTTATGTCAATTTCAGATAGTCAACCAATTTTTAAAAGCTTAAAATATGATATATTTTTTAAAATACTGTATAATTTGCTATTCATTGATTATACTTAGGAATCAAACATTTACGAAACAAGCAAGTTAAAATGAGTTTGTAAAAATTCGATTATATTAATCCTATCTGTCTCTTCTTTGTGCTGGTAGCAAAGGTTAGGATAATTCGTGAGATAAAGAATAATACTGCTTCATCAACCCCATTTCTATCCCTTTGTTCATCAATGACCCTAGTTACGGTATATTCCCACTGCTTTATGAATATCAATCTCCAGCATATGATAAAGTAACTAAAATTGACTGTTCCTTGTGCACTAACCGAACAGCTGTCTTCAGCAGATTCTCAAATACATCATCCAGATACACACCAAAAACACAGAACCGATGGTGCTGGGTTGATGCTAAATATGCAAAAAGAAAACACCCAAACCAGACTCATCATCATTAGCTATCTCGGGATGGCCACATTTCCAAATAAGTCCTGTGATATAAGACTCGAGGATCTGATTAAATCCTTAAAGCATTTTAGTTTTTTAAAATATGGACATGGCATTTCTGAAAGGTTGCAGCTTTGGATCATAAGTATTAAGGACAGCTGAGAAACTTTGAAAAACAAAAATAAAGAGATTTTATATGAAAACTTAATAGAATAATCTTCCCTTCTCCCAATACCATCAAAACAGCCAAAAGTGCCCAATAATTTCTTCTGAGAAATATATAGTTACAAGTATTCTTCCTCTTCATATAAGTTTAACTTCCTCTAAATAATTCTCATATAAAGGAAAGAAAAAATCTGAAAAGACTAAAATCCCCACAATCCATTAAAGACATATTTAAGTATTCACATAGTAACTAACACCGTAAACATGCTTAAAATCTTATTTAAACTATGCCAGGAAAGAAGTGTTTGTCAACTCCTTTTATTGCCAAAATAATTGGGACTGGATTCAGTATCCAATAATGCAAATTACTCATAAGAAAACTTAATCTAGACATCTTTACTCTGTCTTGAAGTAAAATTTACAATAATACCCTCAAAATAAGAATACCAGATTCAGAAAAACAATTCCAAAAATCACCACTGATGTTCAAAAGCTAATATAATTCAAACAACATACAAAATTCTCACATTTTAATTGATTTCTGGATATAGTATCACTGGGGTAATGGGCTCATTATGAAATTAATACTCTACTATCTCCAGCAGATGCTGGGTATATTATCAACCAAGGAAGCAAGAGATCAACGAGTAGCCACTGGACACACATTGGGAACTCCTAGGATACAGAATAAATCTTCATATAATTAGACCACTTGTTTCCAAGGTGATGCAGGGTAAAGGTTCGCAAAAGACCAGCTTTCAAGTTTTACATGTATCCACTTCTTTGTCTTAACAGATAAACTGTACACCAGGTCAAGCCACAGACATCTCAAGACTCAAATTAAAAGTCACTGAGTGATCCTGGAAAATAATGCATCTATTTGAGGCTCCTCTATAAACCTCTAGGAAAGCTGTATTACTGCATTTTCATACTGCTATTAAGAACTGCCCAAGAAAGGGTAATTTATAAAAGAAAGAGGTTTAATTGACTCACAGTTTAGTTCAGCATGGCTGGGAAGGCCTCAAGAAACTTACAATCATGGCAGAAGGCGAAGAGGAAGCAAGACACCTTCTTCTTAAGTTGGCAGGAAGGAGAAGTGCTGAGCAAAGGGGTAAGAGCCCCTTATAAAACAATCACATCTCGTGAGAACTCACTCACTATCAGGAGAACAGCATGGGGGAACCACCCTCATGATTCAACTACCTCCACCTGGTCTCTCCCTTGACACGTGGGGATTGTGGGGATTGTGAGGATTGCAATTCAAGATGAGATCTGGGTGCAGACACAAAGCCTAACCACATCAGAGAGTATGGCTAGGTTCCAGCATATTTCTAGATAGTTTCTCCCTCTCATCACTTACCACCCTGCCCCGAACACACATACACAATATCCTCACTTTCCACCTGGCCCAATTTAGACTCCAGGGTCAGTTACTAAAATTTACTCTTTCATAGACACAGACAAACCCTTTGTCCTTTTCACCCTCCACTGACAACACCCGGCAAAGATAAAAGCATGATTAAACCCAATTATCCACCTACTCCACATGTGCACCTGAGCAATTAAAAATAGATGAAGAAAACTACACAACCTGCCAACAGTTCTCCTCTCAAAGTCGTGATCACAAATCACAATTGGGCAATCAGCACTGTGTAGTAATAGTAAAAATACCCTAAAATACCCAGTTTGTTCAATTGTCCAATATCCAAAATAACCATTTCACACTTTGTCCTCTGTTCTCAAACCTACTAGAACCGCCCCATTCTCCCAACCTCATGACAGCAGCATTGAGAAAACAGAAGCAATCAGATCATTGCAACTTTCTCTTTCCACCATCAAAACCACTCACCTGACCCATACTCTTCTCTATGAAGACAAGTGAAATGTTCCCACTCTGATTGAATCCTACCTTTCCGTTTGTGCTCTGAATCTCACATCTCACTTTCTCAAGAAATGTATTAATATATCCCTCTCCATTCTGCATCATTTTCTCCCCCAATGGATCTGTGGCATCTGCATACAAACCTCCTCTAGTATCTCCATTTACTGAATCCACATTCCCCTACATAAACTGTCCTATTTCCGAAAGTTACCTGTATCACTACTTCCACTCTCACCTCATATTCTTTCGTCAGTTTATCCCAATTAGGTTTCTTTCTTCTCCTCTCAATTGTTATTGAAATCATAATTGTCTAGGTTATCAGAGAAGTCCATTTTACAAAATCCAACAGTCACATGTCCATTCTTCTCTTTTCTGACCTCTCAAATAGCATCCAATACTGCCCTCCATCTTGAAATATTTCCTTCTCCTGTCCCACAAACTGATCACCAATGATCTCCATGTCACTAAATTCATTTTTTAACACTATGTAGTGATTATAAGCTCAGACTATGGAGTCAGACAGACCTGGGTTCAAATTATAGCACCATCACTTTCTAGTATCCAATTTAGAGAAAGATACTTAACCACTGAGTCTGGGTTTCTTCATCTAGTTAATAGGAAAATACTAGCACCTACTTCATGGCTGTGAGAATTATTATCTTCTCTCTCTGACCCTGCTTCCCTCTAACTTTACTTAGTAGCAACATGTGACATGATTCACCCCTAAGAAATGCTCTCTTCCTTTGGTATTTGGCTGTTCCTTCCCAATCACTGTCATAAGCTCCTTCAATTCTACTTGTCATTTAAATGTTAGTTCTAATATATCCTCTAAGTGATCTCTTCCATTCTCATGACTGAAATTATAAACTCAATGATTTCCAAACCTCAATTTCTAGTTTACAATTTGCTCCCATGTCTCAGACTACAAACCTGACAATCTCCACCTGGATATCTCAGGTACCTCCATATTTGAAATGCTCAAAAAATAAACCTGTCGTCTTTCAGGTGCTTTTTCCTCCATCTGAAAACTTCTCTGCCTGTCACAGTTTCTAATTCCTTGCTATTGGTTTCCATGTACTTCCTCCTTTGTACTAGTCATCAAACTTATATTTACTGGCTTAACATATGTATTTCCTGCTAGCCCATAAGCTCCATGACAGAAAATAAAACCTGCCTATATCACGAATACCTTGCCTAGTAACTCACATGTAGTAAATGCTTAAAAACTATTTCTGGAACTGAATTCAAGATGTTTAAAAAGTTAGTGCATATTTACTTTATTGAATTGAGCATTTTACTTGTCCAGATGTCTAATTCATTGTTAATACTTTTATGTCAAAATATTTATATTATTCATTTACATTACTGTCATTTCTAATACATGAAAAGGTATCTAATGAAATTTAAAGGTACTTCTAAACATATTCTGTTTTAAAAATTCTGTATTTATCAACTGCCTCTGGGTTTCAGAGACTACACGATTCAGAAGCTAGAAAAGACAAGTGAAGACAGTATTTGTTTCTTTACTATGGAATCCCACAAAATTTTTAAAAGAATTTTAGTAAAACAATATTTTAATTCTAAATTGCCTAAAATGTTTGGAGTATTTTTAACAGAGATTTTCTCCTCCAAGTCTCTATTATCATTTTCTCCACATAAATACTAACCTCTAATGGTGTATTAATATTGTGTATTTTCACTCTTCAAAGGTAAGTAGCATCTGAAACAGTATTTTTGTTAGCTTATAAAATCTTATTATGGATAAATGTAGACTTTCCACTTGACAGCCTGAAATATGAAAAAATCTTACACACACACCCACATATATGGAGGAAGTTTGCATTGCGTTATGCAGAAATTATATACATATGATTTGTATCAATATACCTGACTACATAATATTGTCTTTTAAAAAGTCATGTTGACCACAAAACCAAAAAAAAAAAAAAAAACCAAAAACACACATTAAATTGAGGGAAAACATTTCTGTATTGCTGTTATTTAGAAAACGTAAAACCTTGAAGGATAATTTCATTGAGAAATTGATCACAATGAAAAAGGATACAAAACAAAGAATCAGGAAACCAGAGTCACAAAGCCTTAAAAATATTTAAATAAATTTGATTCCAAAGAAGCAGGCTTTGTTTTCAAAGTATCTTGGCAATTATCTAACACATAAGAGTTATTTCTATTTTCTCTAACTGCTTGAGTATTTGATCAGATTCCTTCTACATGTTCTATAATAAAACAAAATACACATAACAAAAGCTTGTTTAATTTGTGCACTAAAGTAATACAAAAGTTTAAAAGAGGGGGCGCTATAATATTACAAAAATATCTGGGCTTTTTACTGGCCTCCTAAAATCCAAAGTAATTAATTACCTAGTTATTAAAGAACCTATTTTTGAAATAGTGTTATATCTTTCTCTAGAAGCTAAGAAATCTTCTGAATGCAACGTTTGCGTTTCTGTGTATATTCCCCAAAATGATTTCAGAAAGCCATTTATCAAACTAAATAAGATGTTTTGTTTTATTTTGGTTTATACCCTTTCACCTAGTAATCATCCTCTTGAGGAATAACCCTAAATCCTAAGAAGGCTTCTCTAATTCATTCATAATGCATAAAGGTTTACTGAGCATCTAAGTATATATTCACAAAGATGTTTATTACAATGTAACAGGAAAATACTAGAAACAAACCCAGTATTTGACAGGGTAAGAATTATTAAGAAATCCTAATATGTCTGTCATAGCCATAACATAATGCAGTCATTTAGAATATATTAATGATGAGTTTGAAATGATATAAAAAATGATTTGTTACAGCATTAAGTGAAAAAAGGTAGAATATAAAATTAAACAAGTCCTATAATCAGACTGGAGAAAAAGTTTATGTTGAATAAACACTAAATAAAATAAAACAAATGGATTACCTGCATCTTTGTGGTAAGTTTAACAGTTTTTCCTTTCACGTTTCTATAATTTCTAAGTTTTCTACAGTAAGCACATACAGCTTTGGTAACAGAAAAATGAATCATGATTTTTAAAAAAAGGCAGGCAATATTAAAAAATCATTTCACTTGAGAGAGGACAATAAAATTATTCCTGTTTGCAGATGACATTATCCTACATTTAAAGAAAAAGAACCCTTAAAACGCCACAAAAAAGTTAAATGAACAAATAAATTCAGTAAAGTAGCATACACCTTACAAAATCACCATACAAAAATCAGATGCATTTCTTCACAAAAATAATGACCTAGCTTAAAAAGAAATCAAGAAAACAATCTTATTTATGTGCTCCCACTTTCCCAGCCACCACCCCTCTTCCCAGCCCCCCGCTACTATACCATTGCTAGGAGAGCAAAAAGAATAAAATGCCTATAAATAAATATAGCTAAAGAAGTGAAAGCTCTGAAAACTATAACACACTGATTAAAGAAATTGAAGATGACATAATTAAATAGCAAGATATCCCACGTTCATGAATTGGAAGAATTAACATTGTTAAAATGTCCATACTACCCATAGCAATATATGGATTCAATGCAATTCCATCAAAATTCCAATGGCATTTTTTCACAGAAATAGAGAAAAAAAATTCTAAAATTCGCATGGAATAACCAAAATAATCTTGAGAAAGTAAAACAAAGTTAGATGTATCACACTTCCTAATTTTAAATTACATTATAAAGTTATAGTAACCAAAATAGTATGGTACTGGCATAAAGCCAGATACACAGACAAAAGGAATACTATAGAGAGCCCAGAAATAACCCAAGCATACATGTTCAATTAATTTTTCTCAAGGCTACCGAGAAGATGCAATAACGAAAGAATTGTCTCTTTAATAAATGGTGCTGGGAAAACTGAATATCCATGTGAAAACAATGAAATTGGACCTTTACACCATACACAAAAATCAAACTCAAAAGAGATAAAAGACCTAAACATAAGATCTGAAACCATAAAACTCCTAGAAGAAAGCACAGAGAAAAAGCTCCTTGATGTTCATCCTAGTCTGATATTTTGAATTATCACACCAAAAGCTTGAGGAACAAAAGCAAAAAATAAACAAGTAGAACTACATCAAACTAAAAGCTCCTGTACAGAAAAGGAAACCATCAACAAAAAACACAGCCTACAGACTGGAAGAAAAATTTGCAAACCACATATCTGATAAGGGGTTAATATACAACATGTATAAGGAACTCACACAATTCAATAGCAAAATAATAATAATGTACTAAGATTAATTGATTTTAAAAGGGGCAAAGAACCTAAATAGAAATTTCTCCAAAGAAGACATAAAAATGGCCAACAGATACATGAAAAGATGTTCCATATCACTAACCATTAGGGAAATGCAAACAAAACCAAAATGAAATATTATCTCACAACTGTTAGAATGACTATTATCAAAAAGACAAGAGACAACAAACGCTGGTGAGAATGTGGAGAAAAGGGAACCCCGTACACTGATGGTGGAAATGTAAATTGGTATAGCCATTAAGGACAACAGTTTGAAGGTTCCTCCAAAAATTCAAATTAGAACTACCAGGAATCTCCTGCTTGGTATATATTCAAAGAAGATGAATCCAGTATGTTAAAGAGATATCTGCACCCCCATGTTTGTTGCAGCATTATTCATAACAGCCAAGATATGGAAACAACGTAACTATCTATCAATGGATAAATTGTGGTATGTGTATGTGTCCATATGTGTACATATATATACGCATAGACATATATACAGACAGACACATACACACACACACACACACACACACATAGTAGTATGAGTCAGCCTTGAAAAAGGATATAGTGCCATTTGCAACAACATGGATGAATCTGGAGGACATTATGGTAAGTGAAATAAGCCAGACGTAGAAAGAAAAATACTGCATGATCTCACTTATATGTGGAATTTTTTAAAAATGCCTATTAGAACAGAGATTATCAGAGACAAGGAAAGGGAAAAAATGGGGAGAAGCAGGTTAAAGCATATAAACTTGCAGTTATGTAGGATAAATAAGTCTGGAGATCTGATGTACAGCATCAGGACTATAATTAATGATATTGTATCGTAAACTGAAATTTTGCTAGGAAAATAGATTTTACGTGCTTTAACCACAAACACAAAAAAGGTAATAATGGCAGGTGATGGGTGGGTTAATTTTCTTAATAGTAGCAATCATTTTACTATGTATATTTATATCAAAACAGCATGCCGTATACCTTAAATATATACAATTTAAAATCCACTCAACAATGTTAAATATGTGAGAGAATGATTTTATTTATATTTGAATTATGTCCTATCAGTTGAATTATCTCATTTGTATGTGTAATTAAGGGTGAGAAAGTATGCTTTAGTGTGATTTATTCTAATAAAGATATGATACGTGATACTTCAATGAAAAAAAAAAGGAAAATGCAGACGAACTCACATAAGTAGCTAAAAAATGTGAAGGTCATTCCAAATCAGTCAATACTAACACCACCTTTAAGATGAAAAGATTTAAATTTCTATAACAAGAATTCATGATTTGAATAGCATACATATTTTTCTCTGAGAAATCTATCCTAAATAGATCTGAGGACATCTTTTCTTTTTAACTGATGCAGTTATTTGCTCACATCAACATCATTGATGTCATGTAGCCCTTACAATAATATTTGTTAATAAAAGGCAGCCTCTGTTGAACTGACATCATTTATACTTTACTTACTACATAAGAATAAATGGTGTTTCTAATTGACTAAAAATGTAAAATTGTTTCAACTTAGTCAAATAAAGGGGAAAGAAAAATTAAATCTAGAGTCCATGTAACGATAATCCTATGAACAACCTTACATTTTACAACAGCTTTCAACACCTTGAAACATATACACATATTACAATTTCAACTGCTAAGTTATTAAATTAACAAGGTGATACAGCATCCTACTGATAAACTGGAACTCAAATAAAATTGCCTGGATTCAAATCCTAGGTCTACTGTTTACTATCTGTATAACATGGGAATATTATTTAACTTCTCTGTGCTTCCGTGTCTCCATTTATCAATAAAATAAGAATAATAAGAAATCATGCCTGGAAGAGAGGTTTTAACCACAAAAAGAAGTGATACTATGTGTAGCACAGAGTAAACACTTTAAAAAAGAACTTTTGCCCATTTTCTCACACTAAACAGAATTTGTCATATATTTTGGAAATAAGAATGAAGAGCTCTAAGTCAGAAAACTAGTATTAGAAGCCCCAAATTCATTCAAAATCATAATTACTTCTACATAAAGTACTTTCTGCAATCTGATTATAATCTAATTTAACATTAAGATAAATAAAAATTCTACTGTCAGGGTGATTTTACCACAGTTACTGTAAAAGAAAAAAAAATGAAACACAAGGATCCTTCCTCAAAAGATGCACAAATAAAATTTGGAATCCCTGTATTAACAAAACAGGTTTGTCTTTAACAGGAAATTTACTGGGGAAAAAAATGTACTAAGATTAATAGCAAAATTTAAGTATTTTAAGATATTCAAAGTTAAAGTGTTGGTGTCAGTCAAAATTATCAACATTTGTTACAAATGACATTACTCTCTAGAAATAAAGAATTTTCAGCTGACTACAATGGGCCTAGAACTAGTTACATCATAACCTAATAGAGCCATTCAATTATCTTATGGACTATTTTATTCTTTTTTCTCATGAAGAAATTAATACAAGTGACAGAATGTAACAAAAAAGTCAATAATGTAGAAAGCTTTTAATATATTTCATTTTGGCAAATGATCATATACAAATTTCAAAAGCCAAATCATGATGATTTCATTTATTTGTTCTATATGTATATGATTAATAAGCATTAATTTTGTTTATGGAAATAAATAAGAGAACTCTATTGTTCTATAAAGATTTGAAATGTAAACACTTAGCATTTCCTTCAACTACTGACTTCACAAATTATTTTGAATGTTATTTCAAATAACACTGTGAATGCCAGAAAAGGCTAGGTAAGCAAAGCACTCTACTGCCCCCTAACGAAAAAAACTTTAAGTCAGAAAACTCGATTTGAGGTATCTGTGGAACAGGAAAATAATCTCACTTTGCTAAACACAGTAGACAAACACTAAGACAATTAACCAAAAACAACTAGAATACATATCAAAATACTGCAGGAAAGCTACAATCACCTAGTTTTTGTGATAAAATTAATAGCAAAACAGGAAAGCCTCGAGACAGAAGTGTTCTAAGAAAGGAGACCACAGTCAAACAGTGTTATCCAGTGTGATAGCAATTAAAACTTCACTGCAGGCTGCATTTTTCATTTGTATGTTAGAAGTGAAAAAGAAGATAAGGAGCTCCTTATAAACCGTACTCTTCAGTGAATTACAGTAAGTTTTCAGTACAACAGCTCAAAAGTAAATACAACCAAAATAATCCCTCACAATTTACAGTGATTCTAATCCTCCCAGTAGTTTAATATATGTATATTTTCAGGATAACTACCCTATAAAATACACATTTATGAGAACTGTACCCAATGCTTCCTGTTTTAAACCAACACCAACTTCATAAGTATGACAGTTTTGTACTTTAAGATACTTTATATCATAAACTAAGCAGTGGTAACTTTTAATCTCCCTTTTTGTAAAAGCTTTCCTTTCCTTTAATAAACTTGTTTTTTAAAACATGCTCTATACCCTCATTCCTTTTTACTTAATATTCCAACCTGTGAAGAATTCTCATTTCATATTTGTAAATATTTGAAAGAAAAGTAGTTTGTGGTCCTTAATAACAGGAGTCACATAAAAATTAACATAAGGAATAAGATGAAGAGTACAAAGAATAGAATACCAAATCATAAAATCAAGGAGAAGGTAAACAAGAGAAAGAGCAGTAATTCCAGGCAGCAGTTCATTGAGGAAAAGAGGTATAGTAGTTAACTGTTCCTTTACAGCTAGGGCACACCATAACACTTGGAGATGGCATGCTTCTGCCTAGGTGATGGTAGCTCTATACCTCATTATGTGTCTGTCTATTGTTTAGGAGATATAAGACACAGGCACAAAATGTGTACAATGCCATAGAAGAGAAAGACAATACAAAGAAGTCACTTAAGTCTACATACAAGATGAAAGAGAAATATCTTTTATGTATGTGTGCTTCTCCTCTTCTTCCTCAGCATATTTGTTAATGAAAATGGTGCTCTAGCTCTGCAAGTTATAAGATTAATCAATGTGCATATATGCATCTATCCAAAATCTCAAAATACAAACACAGAAAAACATAAATGTACTCAAGCTCATATTTCAAATGAGTTAGATTTCACATCTAGATATTCACATCTTCCTGAATAATCTGAATGTCTTATTAACATGGCTGTCTTACTAGAAGCATTACTCTTTTATTCCTACTGCCTAAAAATATAACAGACACATAGGCATACTTTGAAGATGTAACAAAGAAGCTAGAAGGACTTGAGAATCCCAAAGACAAGCATTGCTGAACTCATGATGCTTAAAGCATATCCAATGTATGTGGTCAAAATAGTACACTTCCAACATACAAAATGCTTTTAGCTACGCAGACTTAACATTAGGTAGTCACGAAAAATAAAACAAAGGAAGTATATAGCTACTTGGAATGTGCATGTATGTATGTATTTTCACTCATGGAATAGCTCCAGTCTATGCTAGTGAGTTCCAGATCATCATCCTACACCTAAAGGAATAACTTACTCAGTTCACAGAAGAAACAAAAGGGACTTTTCAGGCTCTTTTTCCCCTCCTAATTTCCAGTAAGGATACATGTGAAAAATATAATCAAGAAAAAAGGGAGAGGGAATGCAAGGAACAAGGGAAGAGGTAATAACTTCATCAGGAAATAAATTTAGTGAGAGCTCTGAATTAAAACAAATGGATTGATTTCTTTATTTTAGCCAAAAACAAAAAAGTTTTATTGATGATGATGGTAGTAGCCAGCATTTATTGAGCACACGCTGTAATACTGGGCACTGGACTAAACACTTTACATATACTAGGTATTTAGTCTTCATAAAAATTGTGTAGATAGATACTATTACCTATATTTTACAGATAAAGAAACTGAGAATCAAAGATTAAGTAATTTGCCTGAGGTTACACTACACTAAACTGCAGAGCACACAGTAGTCCCCCTGCCCACTGTGGGGGGATGCATTCCAAAACTCCCAGTGGAGGCCTGAAACCATGGATAGTACTAAACCCAATATATACTGTTTTTTCCCATATATACAAACCTATGATAAAGTTTAATTTATAAATTAGGCACTGTAAGAGATTAACAACAATAATAATAAAATAGAACAACTACAACAACATAGTGTAATAAAGTTATGTGGACGTGGTCTCTTTCTCTCATCTTACTGTACTGTACTCACCTATTTCAAACGGCAGTTGACCGCGGGTAACTGAAACTATGGAAAGTGAAACTGCACATAAAGGGAAACCACCAGACATACTCTAATAGCTTGACTCTAACCACTAAGTTCATATTACGTTCCAGTGAAAATGTGTGAAATAAAATGATACTTTTGAAACACTGTAATAAACTAATACATTATATGTAAGACTCAAGTCAATTCCACAGAATTTTATAGTCATATAATCTGGGCTAGATACTTCTTAAAGAAGCCAGAAACCTGCATAATAGAATGAATAGCGAAAGTTTTAACAAAAAAGTAATAATATTCCCATCCTTCAATTCCTGTTATAAATAATAACATTTCTTCCATTATTCTATTATCATTCAGTCACTGTAATCTCCTGCCTCAGATCTTCTCTAATACCTCATTCTCAATTCTATTTTGTCTTAAGATGAGATAGTCTTATCTACTTAGGAGGAAAAAGTCACTCCCCCTTTTCTACCTTAAAAGATAATCCATTACAGTATAAAATATGATAAAAAGCTCTTATCATATCTGAAAGATATATTTCCCTATATGCCGCAGTAACAAAAAGTATTTCATAGCAATGCTTTGATCTTTAATAATCACGTTCAAGTTGTTCTGAAATTAATAATAAAGTAAAATCCTGTGGTATAAAAAAAATTGTAGGCCGGGCGCGGTGGCTCACGCCTGTAATCCCAGCACTTTGGGAGGCTGAGGGGGGTGGATCACAAGGTCAGGGGATCGAGACCATCCTGGCTAACACGGTGAAACCCCATCTCTACTAAAAATACAAAAAATTAGCCGGACAAGGTGGCAGGCGCCTGTAGTCCCAGCTACTCGGGAGGCTGAGGCAGGAGAATGGCGTGAACCCCAGGGGGCGGAGCCTGCAGTGAGCCGAGATCGCGCCACTGCACTCCAACCTGGGCGACAGCAAGACACCGTCTCAAAAAAAATAAATAAATTGTATTTCTCAAAAGCTGGGATTTAAACACATGCAGGCATACTATACTACTACACACACAAAAACACAATTCAGGTCACCATCATATTTATTGTTCCAGGCTCTAGCTGGACAACAAACAATATTCTCTCTACCACATATATTCAGCTTAAAACATGAAACACTCAGGAATATCTGCAAATACCTAAAACATTAAAATCATAATTTTATATGGTCTTCAACAATTTTTTTTCACTGCAGAATTTAAAAGAAGACATTATGAAATGTTTTTGTAAGAAAGGCACCTTGCAAGATAAGCTATTTCTGTCAAAAAAGATCCACTTATTAATAACTGTTTAACTGAATTATGTTTAAATTCTAAATCCAGAGAGCAAAGACTGCTAAGAATAAAAAGTTTAAGTCCTAACAAACAAAATACATCCTTTTAATGGGATACCATTTCTTACCTTTGAATCTTCATTGTTCACTCCGAGTTGTAACACAGCTTGAGGAGATTTTAGTTTTGCTTGAGCAGAGTGAGCCATCTGAAGGTTAAGCTGCCATCCAACGGTCTCTAGCTATAAAAGACAGGTGCAGATTGGAATCAGATGGTACAGAAGGAAGAAAACAGTCAACTTTAAGCAAATCTCCACTCAGCAGGAATGTATATGGATAGCCTAGGCTTCACAGAAAGTCAGTTCCAGGGCTCTTTTAACCTGCATACTCTGCGAATTCTCCCTTTGGGCTTATTAGATTGGCCTCCTGCCACGCCTGTCAAATTTAACAGCAAAAGTCATCTTTAAATATACTCTATTCTAAAAATAAAAAATTCTAATACCAAGCAATGAAATATATTAAAAGAGCCAATGGTTTTTAAATATTAAATAGTAAATTACTATTTTAAAATAGTATTTTTTAAAACTAATGATTTTTAAATAGTTACAAATTTCAACTAGTAAATTGCATAAATTGGTGAAAAGCACTTTAATGACTTCCCACTATCTTCCAAAATCTTTGCGTAGGTACTATACAGGTAAGATTTGCTTTTTTTCTTTTTAATTTAGAGGGAAACTAAAGTATCCAGATGGTAAGAGGTTCACACCTTTAGACACAATGAGATTGAAACAGGCAGAGAATTGATATCTACTACCCAGCAAGTGTTACGCAACAGACTATCATACTTTCCAAGGTACTCTTACTATCGTTCCCAGTTATGACAGAAACTAATCAGAACATTTCCTTTGAATTTATTAGTTAATACAACAGCAAAATTTTAATCAAGTAAGACAAAAATAGTAAAGGAAGACTAAGGCAGAGTAACTTTTCTTATAAAGTATTGAGCACAGATGTGACTTTATACTGAACTTCACAGCTCTATGGTGCCTCCAGCTTCAGAAGTGTAAGGTTTTAGATTTAATTTCCTGTAAATCTCAAGTATCAATATTTAGGGAAGTTTTGTGAAATGCAATTGTCATATGCCTCTGAGAACATGACCCTAATAATAGATTTAGTAAAACTACCTTAGCAATACTGGGTAAGAATGGCAGGCTCACAATTTTTCCTTGACTAGAATACTAATCACTTAATTTGAAAGACTGTTCAACAGCTAGAATCACAGCAGTGACTCAAAGCCAAGTTGGAAAGACAGCAATGGAAGTATTATCTATTTGAGAGAGGATGTGATGAGAAAATAAAGATACAGTTCTGTTCCTTCTGGCACTAAGCCTTTTAGAGGTTATGGGTAAAAAGAAGGAAGATGTTGTAGAGATATAATCTATAATATCTCTATAATAACTAATAAAAAATCAATTTCATGGTACATGTTAAGTAAGGATTCTTTACATACTGATCTTTAACACTGATTACAGCAAGCATAGTCTCTGATACCAGCCTGCCACTATTATCAAGTCCCATGCAATAGACTCTCCAATAAAATAGGAATAAATGTCATAACCATTCTCATATATAAAAAAGCACTGGCATACATGCCGTCTTAATTGAAAAGCACTTTCTAGGTATTTATATAGACCTGTAAAATGTTGCATTTACCTTATTTAATTGATCCTATCCCTCTCCATTAGGCACTTAACATAACTAATGAAGAGAGATATCAAGTGAATAAATTAAAACTCACACCCCACTGTGATCAGGCCTTGATATTAACTAATGTATGCTTAGGCACTGCATAGAGATGATGCAGACAAATTAAAAAGAACCCTATATTTGAAGTTTATGATTTGGTTCATGCTTAAACTATCACCAGCTATGTGACCGTGGCTAAGCCACAATCTTTCAAGATCTCAATTTCCTCATATAAAATGGAAATAAATCCATCTGAACTACCTACTTTTCTGGGTTACTGATAATATCCAATAACATGCACACCTAAAGGATTTTGGAAACTATAAAGTATTATAAATATAAGGCATTTTGGTCACCTAATTTGTTCTACAGTATCTTCTAAATATTTTTCAAATATTTTCCAAAATTCATGACTCATTTCAGATTCTCATCATCCACATATTCCCAGACTATCACAATAGTCTTCTAACTGGGCTACCTGCCTCCTATAGAACCTCGTCCCATCATCCCACTTCCCTTCTTAAAATTCTCCAATAGCTCCTTACTACCTACAAAATAAAATCCAAACTCTATATACAAAACCCCTCAGGATGGGATAACAACCTTTCCACTCCTACGTTCTAAAACATATTACTAATTATCTATAATTTAGCCACAGTGAAACAAATAAGATTCCCAAAACATACTATGCTGTTTCACATGCCTCTTCTTTGACTCCAGTGTCACCTCCTCTGTTATTTTTTCCTTTCCCTTCCCTCTGTAGTCTGCTACTCTGTTCCCTCAGCACTCTGCATCTTTCTCTATTAACATTTAGATCAGTGTATTGCAATAATTTGTCTACATGTCTATCTCCTCAGAGTAGAGTGCAATCTCCATTAGGAGACAGCTGGAGTCTTATTCACCTTTATATCCTTGTGACCTACAACAGCCTCTGACAGAGTCAACACTAAAGATTCCTCTCAGACAAGTGATCAATCACATAACATATACAAACTTTCAAGGAGAAGTATTCACATGAAAATGAATGTATGAAAGAGGAAGAAAAAAAGTTGTATTTCCACTTGGCTATGGCTTTGGTAGGAGGCAGGACTGCAACCTATAGAGCTAATATTTGGTTGGTTCTTCACATACACATACATACATACATACATACATACACACATACACACACACACACATACCCCTCCCACCTGTCACACATACAATATTATCTGCAGGCCAAAGCATGTCCAGAAATCCTTTTTATAATGAGTAAACATTACCCTAGCTTTCATTTGGTTTGCTAAAGTAGCAGCTGAGTGTGGGCTGTGAAGTTCCATACTAATTGACCTTAAGCAAGTTACATATTCTATTCACCTCTTTGGGCCTCGATATTCTCATCTGCAAAATGGACACAATAAGACCTGCCTCACTAAGTTGTAAAGGGTTAAATGATACATTGTCAAATATTGAGTTAGTGGCACCTCCTTTCCCAATTTCTCCAATTAAGTGTTCTGTCCAATCAGTATATTCTTTCCCCAACTAGATACGTGTATATTTGTAATATTGCCATGAGTTAGCCTTCTTTGTTGATATTATAAATTGTCTTTGGAAAATACTACTCAAAATATATATCATCACACAAGAAACTATCAAGTATTTTGATTTTAAAACTACAAACAAAATTGCATATTTTAAATATTTACAATGTTATACTTATTATGTTCATTTTAGAAAATTATTAGAAAGCCATCTGACAAAAGGATACAACTCTAATTTTAAAAGTTACTAACTAGAGATAGGTACACAAAGGCTAGCCTGCAAACCTCATGTTAATCAAGACTGTGTTACTCATTCACAAAACTCCTTAGCCATGTGGCTAGAAGAAAGGACAAATTAGAGTCGCCACTTAAATATTTTGGGTCACAGACTATTTGATAACTGAATGAAAAGTATAGAAACTTGTCTCAGAAAAACGCATACACATTCACTAATTTTGGATAATTGCATCAAATTTTGAAAGACTCATTCACTACCCACTCCCTAAGTAGAGGACTAAATAACTTCTAGATTACAGTTTCTTTGGCCTCAACTAACAGTAAGAATGACTGACATAACAAACGTCCAGAAGACGGAGAAGCAGGGTCAATAAATTAACAAACTGTATTCTCAGTCCCCGGATAACAGAAAACTAATAAGTGAACTGTGTCACTACTTGCCTCACTTTATTTTCTTAGGGCTTTTTGCCATCTATCATAACATATAGTATTTATTTGCTTGCTGACTACCACCTAAGATTCTAAACTCCTTGAGAACAAAGGATTTTGCCCTTTTTATCAGTGCTATACCCGGAGCACTTAAAATAATGTCCCGCATACAGTAAGCACATTCTACATCTATCTGTAGAATTGAATTGAAATAAATTAAAGAGTATGCACAAGGAAAGTAATTTTTAAAAGAGTCATGACTAAAAGTATTCATGGATTGGCTTTCTTAATTTCCAGAGCCTTTTCTATTAAACTTTGTCATTGAAAAATATTTGTTCCATGGCCATATGACAGAGTAATAAAAAAAGTAAATAAAATTGCTGACCTCATATGTGTTTGTGCATGCAAACACCCACACACACAGCTTCACAGAGAATAATCAGTATTCAGAAAGCTTAAATGAATAGAAAATATAGAAAGGATAACTATTATTACAAACTAATACTTAATAGCTATATAATACTATACTACATAGCACAGTATATATACTATACTATATATACTAATATATATTATATAGTATATAGTATATATATACTAATGTATATTATATAGTATATAGTATATATATATACTGTATATCACATAGTATATAGTATATATATACACTAATGTATATTACATAGTATATAGTATATATATACTAATGTATATTACATTAGTATATAGTATATATATACTAATGTATATTACATTAGTATATAGTATATATATACTAATGTATATTACATTAGTATATAGTATATATATACTAATGTATATTACATTAGTATATAGTATATATATACTAATGTATATTACATTAGTATATAGTATATATATACTAATGTATATTACATTAGTATATAGTATATATATACTAATGTATATTACATTAGTATATAGTATATATATACTAATGTATATTACATAGTATATAGTGTATATATACTAATATATATAAAATACTATAGTATATAGCATATATATACTATACTATATATACAAAAAAGAAGACAAAGAAAACTAACAACCCTGTGAGACAGGTAACGCTTATTACCCCCATTTTACAGATTAAAAACGTAAAACAAATGTAAACAATTGGTGAATCAGGATAAAGAATATATGGGGCTTCCTTACATCATTATGGCAACTTCTCTGTAAGTTTAAAATTATATAAATTATATCAAAATCAAAAGTTACAAGAAGTTCAATCAAGTAAGAATCATCAGTAGATACTGAATCAAAGTGGAGAAAGTCTCACGTGGAATTGTATGTTTACATAGTCACAAAGTATCTACCCACGACTGCTCTTTATTTATAAAAGAAAAGAGTAGTGATACAGTGGAGAACCTCACCTTACCCAAGGGATCAAAATTAACATTATCAAAAAGTGGCTAATGAACATCAAGCACCTGTAGGTGTGATATTCTGCAAAAGTCACAACGTCACTTACACAGTATTCTAACCAAAAAATCACAATCTAAATCTGATCATGAATTAACAACAGAAAAATAAAAATTGAGGGATACGCCATAAAATAAGTGGCACGTATACTTCAGAAATATCAATGTCCTAAAAGCAAAGGGAATAAATAATTCCTTACATTGTTTAGAATATATTCTTATATTATTTGCCAGACCTATAGTAGGCATTGCTGACATAAACAAGATACAGTTACTATACAAAGATGAAAAATCTCATACCATTTAATTATTCCTGAGACTCATAACTAAGCAAATAAGACAATCACCAATATTTTAGTTACATGTGAAATAAAACCCAGTATAGAGTTTTGCCTTAAGTTAGCTAATTATATTTGCTTCTATTTAAAATAAAACTATCCTGTGTACATCATATCAATGAATTATATTAATGTAATTTCTTTATTATTTCATATTCAAATTTAAATCTGAGGGTCCTTACACTTTAATGTCCTAGGTTTAAATATGATCAAAATAATATAAAACACAGGAAAATAAGCCACTAATATTTATAATGGTTTTCAACCCATGCCAAAACTGTTAACACAGTAGTTAGGCATCTCACTTACATTACCTTTTACCTGAGAATGTTACTAAAATGTCACCTCAAAATATTATAACTTCAATATAATCTTAAATTCTTACAATTACTCTGTAAACCAAAATTCTAAGCACATCTCAAATTAGACAAAATTACTACATTAACTCCTCAAAATAGGAAAAGAAAATGTAAATTTACCAGCTAAATTTTTACTAGAAGCTCTCTAAAAACAGCAGCATTAAAGTTTTTTCGACTATGTCCCACAGCAAGAATACTTTTTATGCTGCGAACTGACACACATACACAAAGGTTTCACAAAACAATTTTTATCCAGAGCAGTCTTCTCTGATAATCTGTTATGTTTCCCACCTTTTTTATTATTATTATTATTATACTTTAAGTTCTAGGGTACATGTGCACAACGTGCAGGTTTGTGACATATGTATACATGTGCCATGTTGGTGTGCTGCACCCGTTAACATGTCATTTACACTAGGTATATCTCCTACTGCTATCCCTCCTCCTTCCCCCCACCACAAGACAGGCCCCAGTGTGTGATGTTCTCCACCCTGTGTCCAAGTGTTCTCATTGTTCAACTCCCACCTATGAGTGAGAACATGCAGTGTTTGGTTTTCTGTCCTTGCGATAATTTGCTCAGAATGATGGTTTCTAGCTTCATCCATGTCTCTACAAAGGACATGAACTCATCCTTTTTTATGGCTGCATAGTATTCCATGGTGTATATGTGCCACATTTTCTTAATCCAGTCTATCATTGACGGAAATTTGGGTTGCTTCCAAGTCTTTGCTATTGAGAATAGTGCCACTATAAACATGCGTGTGCATGTGTCTTTATAGCAGCATGATTTATAATCCTTTGGGTATATACCTAGTAATGGGATGGCTGGGTCACATGGTATTTCTAGTTCTAGATCTTTGAGGAATCGCCACACTGTCTTCCACGATGGTTGAACTAGTTTACACTCCCACCAAAGGTGTAAAAGCATTGCTATTTCTCCACATCCTCTTCAGCACCTGTTGTTTCCTGACTTTTTAATGATCGCCATTCTAACTGGTGTGAGGTGGTATCTCATTGTGGTTTTGATTTGCATTTCTCTGATGGCCAGTGATGATGAACATTTTTTCATGTGTCTGTTGGCTGCATAAATGTCTTCTTTTGAGAAGTGTCTGTTCATATCCTTTGCCCACTTTTTGATGGGGTTGTTTGATTTTCTCTTGTAAATTTGTTCAAGTTCTTTGTAGATTCTGGATATTAGCCCTTTGTCAGTTGGGTAGATTGTAAAAATTTTCTCCTATTCTGTAGGTTGCCTGTTCACTCTGATGGTAGTTTCTTTTGCTGTGCAGAAGCTCTTTAGTTTAATTAGATCCCATCAGTCAATTTTGGCTTTTGTTGCCATTGCTTTTGGTGTTTTAGACATGAAGTCCTTGCCCATGCCTATGGCCTGAATGGTATTGCCTAGGTTTCCTCCTAGGGTTTTTATGGTTTTAGGTCTAATTTTTAAGTCTTTAAACTATCTTGAATTAATTTTTGTATAAGGTGTAAGGAAGGGATCCAGTTTCAGCTTTCTACATATGGCTAGCCTGTTTTCCCAGCAACATTTATTAAATAGGGAATCCTTTCCCCATTTCTTGTTTTTGTCAGGTTTGTCAAAGATCAGATGGTTGTAGATGTGTGGTATTATTTCCAAGGGCTGTACTCTGTTCCATTGGTCTATATCTCTGTTTTGGTACCAGTACCATGCTGTTTTGGTTACTGTAGCCTTGTAGTATAGTTTGAAGTCCGGTAATGTGATGCTTCCAGCTTTGTTCTTTTTGCTTAGGATTGACTTGGCAATGAGGGCTCTTTTTTGGTTCCATATGAACTTTAAAGTAGTTTTTTCCAATTCTGTGAAGAAAGTCATTGGTAGTTTGATGGGGATGGCATTGAATCTATAAATTACCTTGGGCAGTATGGCCATTTTCATGATATCGATTCTTCCTATTCATGAGCATGGAATGTTCTTCCATTTGTTTGTGTCCTCTTTCATTTCGTTGAGCAGTGGTTTGTAGTTCTCCTTGAAGAGGTCCTTCACATCCCTTGTAAGCTGGATTCCTAGGTATTTTATTCTCTTTGAAGCAATTGTGAATGGGAGTTCACTCGTCATTTGGATCTCTGTTTGTTATTGGCGTATAGGAATGCCTGTGATTTTTGCACACTGATTTTGTATCCTAAGACTTTGCTGAAGTTGCTTATCAGCTTAAGGAGATTTTGGGCTGAGACAATGGGGTTTTCTAAATATACAATCATCTCATCTGCAAACAGGGAAAATTTGACTTCTTCTTTTCCTAACTGAATACCCTTTATTTCTTTCTCTTTCCTGCTTGGCCTGGCCAGAACTTCCAACACTATGCTGAACAGGAGTGGTGAGAGAGGGCATCCCTGTCTTGTGCCAGTTTTCAAAGAGAATGCTTCCAGTTTTTGCCCATTCAGTATGAAAGGGTATCAGTGACTGACGATCAAATGAATGAAATGAAGCGAGAAGTTTAGAGAAAAAAGAATAAAAAGAAACGAACAAAGCCTTCAAAAAATATGGGACTATGTGAAAAGACCAAATCTATATCTGATTGGTGCACCTGAAAGTGACAGGGAGAATGGAACCAAGTTGGAAAACACTCTGCAGGATATTATCCAGGAGAACTTCCCCAAGCTAGCAAGGCAGACCAACATTCAAATTCAGGTAATACAGAGAACGCCACAAAGATACTCCTGGAGAAGAGCAACTCCAAGTCACATAATTGTCAGATTCACCAGAGTTGAAACAAAGGAAAAAATGTTAAGGGCAGCCAGAGACAAAGGTCGGGTTACCCACAAAGGGAAACCCACCAGACTAACAGCGCATCTCTCAGTAGAAACTCTACAAGCCAGAAGAGAGTGGGGGCCAATGTTCAACATTCTTAAAGAAAAGAATTTTCAACCCAGAATTTCATATCCAGCCAAAATAAACTTCATATGTGAAGGAGAAATAAAATCATTTACAGACAAATGCTGACAGACTTTGTCACTACCAGGCCTGCCTTACAAGAGCTCCTGAAGGAAGCACTAAACATGGAAAGGAACAACTGGTACCAGCCACTGCAAAAACATGCCAGATTGTAAAGACCATCAATGCTAGGAAGAAACTGCATCAACTAACGAGGAAAATAACCAGGTAACATCATAACGACAGGATCAAATTCACACATAACAATATTAACGTTAAATGTAAATGGGCTAAATGTTCCAATTAAGAGACACAGACTGACACAAGACACTCAACAGTGTGCTGTATTCAGGAGAACCACTTCACGTGCAGAGACACACATAGGTTCAAAATAAAGGGATAGAGGAAGATCTACCAAGCAAATGGAAAGCAAAAATAAAGGAGGGGTTGCAATCCTAGTCTCTGATAAAACAGACTTTAAACAAAGATCAAAAGAGACAAAGAAGGCCATTGCATAATGGTAAAGGGATCAATTCAACAAGAAGAGCTAACTATCCTAAATATATATGTACCCAATACAGGAGCACCCAGATTCATAAAGCAAGTCCTTATAGACCTACAAAGAGACTTAGACTCCCATACAATAACAATGGGAGACTTTAACACCCCACTGTTAAAATTAGACAGATCAATGAGACAGAAGGTTAACAAGCATATCCAGGACTTCAACTCAGCTCTGCATCAAGCAGACCTAATAGACATCTACAGAACTCTCCACCCCAAATCAACAGAATATACATTCTTCTCAGCACCGCATCGCAATTATTCCAGAATTGACCACATAGTTGGAAGTAAAGCACTCCTCAGCCAATGTAAAAGAACAGAAATCACAACAAACTGTCTCTCAGACCACAGTGCAATCAAACTAGAACTCAGGATTAAGAAACTCACTTAAAACTGCATAAGTACATGGAAACTGAACAATCTGCTCCTGAATGACTACTGGGTAAGTAACGAAATGAAGGCAGAAATAAAGATGTTCTTTGAATCCAATAAGAACAAAGACACAATGTACCAGAATCTCTGGGACACAATTATAGCAGTATGTAGAAGGAAATTTATAGCACTAAATGCCCACAAGAGAAAGATGGACAGATCTAAAACTGACACCCTAACATCACATTTAAAGGAACTAGAGAAGCAAAAGCAAACAAATTCAAAAGCTAGCAGAAGGCAAGAAATAACTAAG
Organism: Homo sapiens; assembly: GCF_000001405.40. Classification (NCBI taxonomy): domain Eukaryota; kingdom Metazoa; phylum Chordata; class Mammalia; order Primates; family Hominidae; genus Homo; species Homo sapiens. The sequence goes on along the minus strand of NC_000005.10, from coordinate 116,124,084 downwards.
ATCAGAGCAAAACTGAAGGAGACAGAGACAGAAAAAAACCCTTCAAAACATCAATGAATCCAGAAACCAGTTTTTTGAAAAGATCAACAAAATTGATAGACTGCTGGCAAGATTAATAAAGAAGAAAAGCGAGAAGAATCAAATAGATAAAAAAAAATGATAAAGGGGATATCACCACCAATCCCACAGAAATGCAAACTACCATCAGAGAATACTATAAACACCTCTATGCAAATAAACTAGAAAATCTAGAAGAAATGGATAAATTCCTGGACACATACACCCTCCCAAGACTACACCAGAAAGAAGTTGAATCTCTGAATAGACCAATAACAGGCTCTGAAATTAAGGAAATAATTAATAGCCTGCCAACCAAAAAAAGCCAAGGACCAGACAGATTCATAGCTGAAATCTACCAGAGGTACAAGGAGGAGCTGGTACCATTCCTTCTGAAACTATTCCAAACAACAGAAAAAGAGGGAATCCTCCCTAACTCATTTTATGAGGCCAGCATCATCTTGATACCAAAGCCTGACAGAGACACGACAAAAAAAGAGAACTTTAGACCAATATCCCTGATGAACATTGATGCAAAAATCCTCAATAAAATACTGGCAAACCGAATCCAGCAGCACGTCAAAAAGTTTATCCACCACAATCAAGTCGGCTTCATCCCTGGGATACAAGGCTGGTTCAACATACGCCAATCAATAAACGTAATCCATCACATAAATAGAAACAACAACAAAAACCACATGATTATCTCAGTAGATGCAGGAAAGGCCTTCGACAAAATTCAACAGCCCTTCATGCTAAAATCACTCAATAAATTAGGTATCGATGGTATTAGAGGTATTAGATTCCATTTGTATTAGTTTCCATTGGCTTTTGTTGGAATAAACTAGGTATTGATGGTATTCCAATAAACTAAGTATTGATTATCTCAAAATAATAAGAGCTATTTATGACAAACCCACAGCCAATATCATATCAAATGGGCAAAAACTAGAAGCATTCCCTTTGAAAACTAGCACAAGACAGGGATGCCCTTTCTCACCACTCCTATTCAACATAGTGTTGGAAGTTCTGGCCAGGGCAAGCAGGCAAGAGAAAGAAATAAAGGGTATTCAGTTAGGAAAAGAGGAAGTCAAACTGTCCCCGTTTGCAGATGACATGACTGTATATTTAGAAAACCCCATCGTCTCAGCCCAAAATCTCCTTAAGCTGATAAGCAATTTCAGCAAAGTCTCAGGATACAAAATCAATATGCAAAAACCACAAGCATTTCTATATGCCAATAACAGACAGAGAGCCAAATCATGAGTGAACTCCCATTCACAATTGCTTCAAAGAGAATAAAATACCTAGGAATCCAGCTTACAAGGGATGTGAAGGACCTCTTCAAGGAGAACTACAAACCACTGCTCAATGAAATAAAAGAGGACACAAACAAATGGAAGAGCATTCCATGCTCATGGATAGGAAAAATCAATATCATGAAAATGGCCATACTGCCCAAGGTAATTTATAGATTCAATGCCATCCCCATCAAACTACCAATGACTTTCTTCACAGAATTGGAAAAACTACTTTAAAGTTCATATGGAACCAAAAAAGAGCCCTCATTGCCAAGTCAATCCTGAGCAAAAAGAACAAAGCTGGAGGCATCACGTTACCGGACTTCAAACTATACTACAAGGCTACAGTAACCAAAACAGCATGGTACTGGTACCAAAACAGAGATACAGACCAATGGAACAGAACAGAGGCCTCAGAAATAACACCACACATCTACAACCATCTGATCTTTGACAAACCTGACAAAAACAAGAAATGGGGAAAGGATTCCCTATTTAATAAATGGTGCTGGGAAAACAGGCTAGCCATATGTAGAAAACTAAAACTGGATCCCTTCCTTACACCTTATACAAAAATTAATTCAAGATGGCTTACAGACTTACATGTTAGACCTAAAACATAAAAACCCTAGAAGAAAACCTAGGCAATACCATTCAGGACATAGGCATGGGCAAGGACTTCATGTCTAAAACACCAAAAGCAATGGCAACAAAAGCCAAAATAGTCAAATGGAATCTAATTAAACTAAAGAGCTTCTGCATGACAAAAGAAACTACCATCAGAGTGAACAGGCAACCTACAGAATGGGAGAAAATTTGTGCAATCTACCCATCTGAAAACGGGCTAGCATCCAGAATCTACAAAGAACTCCAACAAATTTACAAGAAAAAAACAAATAACCCCATTCAAAAAGTGGGCAAAGGATATGAACAGACACTTCTCAAAAGAAGACATCTACACAGCCAACAGACACATGAAAAAATGCTCATCATCACTGGCCATCAGAGAATGCAAATCAAAACCACAATGAGATACCATCTCATGCCAGTTAGAATGGCGATCATTAAAAAGTCAGGAAACAACAGATGCTGAAGAGGATGTGGAGAAATAGGAATGCTTTTACACTGTTGGTGGGAGTGTAAACTAGTTCAACCATCGTGGAAGACAGTGTGGCGATTCCTCAAGGATCTAGAACTAGAAATACCATGTGACCCAGCCATCCCATTACTGGGTATATACCCAAAGGATTATAAATCATGCTACTATAAAGACACATGCACATGTATGTTTACTGCGGCACTATTCTCAAAAGCAAATACTTGGAACCAACCCGAATGTCCAGCAATGATAGACTGGATTTTGAAAATGTGGCACATATACACCACGGAATACTATGCAGCCATAAAAAAGGATTAGTTCATGTCCTTTGCAGGAACATGAATGAAGCCAGAAACCATCATTCTCAGCAAACTATCACAAGGACAGAAAACCAAACACCGCATGTTCTCACTCATAGGTGGGAACTGAACAATGAGAACACTTGGACAGAGGAAGGGGAACATCACACACGGGGCCTGTCATGTGGTGGGGGGCAGGGGGAAGGAGAGCATTAGGAGAAATATCTAATGTAAATGATGAGTTAATGGGTGCGGCATAACAACATGGCACATGTATATCTATGTAACAAACCTGCACGTTGTGCATATGTATCCTAGAACTTAAAGTATAATTAAAAAAAAGAAAATATAGGCCTATACAAAAACATATACATATACACATACAAAACATATACATAAACATATACAAAAACATACAAAACATATACATAAATGTTAATCACAGATAAACATTAATTAGGTTTATTCATAATAGCCAAAACCTAGAAATAGCCCAGATATCCACAAACAGGTGAACAGATAAGCAAACTGAGGTATATCCAAATGGTAGAATACTACTCTGTAATAAAAAAAAAAAAAGTACTAATACAAGTAACAAAATGATCAGTCTCAAAATCATTATAATCAGTGTATGAAGCCAGACACATACAAAAAGTATATCTGTAAGTCCATTTATATAAAATACTAGAGAATGCCATCTATAGTGACAGAATGTAGAGCAGGGGTTGCTTGGGGCTAGGTTAGGGCAGTAAGGGACTGCAAAGGAAAATGAAACTTTTGAGGGTAATGAAAATACTCTATCTTTAAAAAAAATTTTTTTTAATTTTATTTCAATAGTTTTTGGGGTACAGGTGGTATTTGCTTACATGGGTAAGTTCTGTAGCAGTGATTTCTGAGATTTTAGTGCAACCGTCACCGAAGCAGTGTACACTGTACCCAATGTGTAGTCTTTTATCCCTCATCTTCCTCCCAACCTTGCCCCACAAATCCCCAAAGTCCATTATATCATTCTCATGCCACCACAACCTCATAGCTTAGCTCCCAATAAGGGAGAACGTAAGATATTTGGTTTTCCATTCCTGAATTACTTCATTTAGAAAACTGGCCTCCAGTGTCACCCAAGTTGCTGCAAAAAACGCTACTTCATTCCTTTTTATGGCTGAGTAGTACTCCATAGTGTATATATACCATATTTTCTTTATTCATTTGTTGGTTGATGGGCACTTAGGTTGGTTCCATATTGTTGCAATTGCAAATTGTGCCGCTATAAACATAATGCTCTGTATCTTGATTACCATGGTGATCTCATGGAAATACAGCTATCAAAATTCATGGAACCATACAATTCAAAAGAATACAGTATATACTATACAAATTATAATTATAAAACATTATTTTTTAAAGATACAAGGCAGGCACAGTGACTCACACCCGTAATCCTAGCACTTTGGGAGGCTGAGGCAGGGGGACCAATTGCTTGAGGCCAAGAGTTCAAGACCAGCCTGGGCAAAATGGCAAGACACTGTCTCTATGAAAATGTTCTTTAAAAAGTATCTAGGCATGACAGCATACACCTGTAGTCCTAGTTACTTGGGAAGCTGAGGCAGGAGGATCCCTTGAGCCTAGGAGTTTAAGGCTGCAGTGAGCTATGATCACACCACAAGCCACTGCACACTTCAGCCTGAGTGACTGAGCAAAACCCTGTCTCTGGAAAAAAAATAATAAGATGCCAGGGCCAGGGTATCAGAGATGACTGGTATACAATATATAACCTATAAAACACAGAAGTGAATATATTACCATATCCAAGTGACTGCCTACTTTCATAAGACATACTGCACAAATCTCCAACAGGGTTACCCATTAGGCAGCCTCCAGAAGACCTCAGGAGTCTGTTGCCCTCTGCAAAACTCCAAAAGTGACTAAGCCAACACATTCATTTTGGCACTCTGTACTTTTAATTTGGCTGCTACATCAAATCACAATAAGAAGTGCAAATGCCTTATTACAAACACAATTCAGGGATATTCCCTAACCAATACCCTCAAGTTTAGACACCACAAAAGTCGGCCTAGTCTCACTGTTAGGGTGACAAGGAACTTAATTATATCCCTTGACCCACAGACTTGACCAAAGTACCAAATCATAAGACTGGCCTTCATATTCAAGTTGGAGGGAAGTGAGGGAAATCATCAATGTATTTTTTTTTCAAATTGTTTGTCACCTCTGCATACCAAGAATATATGAAGATAATAGCACAAGTTTGAGGACACTGAAATGTCATTCAACAAATGTTCTCACAATTGGCAACACTCTGAAAAAGTACATCAACTCTATTTAACAAATGCACATCTTTGAATACTGTGACATAATAAGAGTGATTTTGCTAACAGCACAGTTCCCTGGCATTAACGAAATCTTCATTCAATTTGTTAATGGTTCTGGTTTCAGCCAATTACTTATGCAGTGGAGAAATACATTCTGTTTCAAATAAGACTGATTAAGGGTCTCTTAGATCTAAAGATTTTTAAATTGATTTCTGCATCAACAGCTAAGTCCATCACTTTTTTTTTTTCCTGGAGAATTTCCATCTGTTTCAACCTAAAGCAATTCTTTCTATATTTTCACTTTTAAAGAGAAAATTTTTTAAATGACTAGAATCTAGTACTCTAGCAAAATTCAAGAGCCATAAAATAAATGAACCACAAAAAGGCTTGAAGTACAACCAAAAATGAAAACACAAAAGAATATTAGGAAATACAAAATGCAGTTCATAGCCTCCTCCTTTTATTGTCCTTTCTCTGTCAATAAAAAAAATATCCCTCTTCATAAGGAAACCGAATAAAGTGAACTTAAAAATAGCACAGTTTGTAAGGATGGAATATTGCACATGCATTCATTCAACAAATATTTACTGACACTCTACTATCTCCCAAAGACCAAAAGTAGTGAAAATAACAGCAGTAAACAAACAGACAAAAATTATTGCCATTGAGGAGCTTATATTCTGGTGGTAGAGACAGACAAAAAAGTAAATAAGTAAAATATATAGTGGGCCACAAAAAAAATAAATATTATGGAGAAAAATAAGATAATAAAATGCCACAGAGGAGGTGGCACTATCAGGGAAAGATTCACTGACAAATGTGACATTTAAACAATCAGCTGGAAAAAGGAACCAAGCCAGCCCTATGAACATCCAGCAGAACTTTTGAAGTAAAGAGATTAGAGGTATTCAATAAGCCAGATAGAGGATGTTAAAAGGAGATGGTCAACAATGTAGGTTGTGGGCTGAGGAGACAACAGGGCATGTAGTTCCTTAAAGACAATTGTAAGAACTCCAACTTCTACAATGAGTAACATGGAAACCCTAAAATGGAAATGGAGTGGGGTGGATAAAATAAGACACATTTTTAAAAAATCACTTTTGGAGTTCTTAGTCTAGTAATGGTTGGGAAATAGCCTATATCACACCAACCTCCTTGAATATAAAAATATATAATCTCTATACAAAACGTTTTTTTAAAACAACAATTTGAATGCATTAAGAATGACTAAAATCAGGCCAGGTGTGGTGGCTCACACCTGTAATCCTAGTATTTTGGGAGGCCAAGGCGGGCAGATCACTTAAGTTCAGGGGTTCAAGACCAGCCTGGCCAACATGGTGAAACCCCACCTCTACTAAAAATACAAAAAAATTAGCCAGGAGTGGTGGTGCGTGCCTGTAATCCCAACTACTCGGGAGGCTGAGACACAAGAATCTCTTGAACCCAGGAGGCAGAGGTTGCAGTGAGCCGATATCGTGCCACTGCACACTCCAGCCTGGGCCACAGAGCGAGACCCTACCTCAAAAACAAACAAACAAAAAAGAATGACTAAAATCAGGCAAAAGTTAAAGGAAATTTGACTCTTAAAGGAAACCACTCAAGGTGAGATTCACACATATATGACTTTTCCCAATCCATGTAGCATGGAGAGACTAAAACTTAAATAGGAAGTCTCAGACTTTTTGGCTTGGGGGATCAGCAATCCCCATTACTAGATATTTACGCAAGGGAAAAAAATATAATATCCATAAAATGACTTGAACACAAATGTTCATAGCAATCTTACTCATATTAGCCAGAAACTGTAAAAAACCCAAACATACATGAACAGAAATACAGATAAACAAATTGTGATATTTTCATATAATGGAATGACACTTAGCAATAAAAGAATTACTAATAAATGTAATAATATGAATGAATCAAAAAAATTATTTTGAGTGACAGTCAAATACATATTATATGAGTCCATTACGTTAAATCCAAGAGCAGACAAAACTAATCTGTGGTGACAGAAATAAAAAAGTGAGGATGAGGTTGAAAGTAATTTCCTGCTGATGAAAATTTTCTATACTTTGTTAGGTATCATAATTAAATGTGTGTATATAACTTCTAAAACCCATCAGACTGAACAATTAAATTAAAATCTCTGCATTTTGGGAGGCTGAGGCAGGAGAATGGCGTGAACCCGGGAAGCGGAGCTTGCAGTGAGCCGAGATTGCGCCACTGCAGTCCACAGTCCGGCCTGGGCGACAGAGCGAGACTCCGTCTCAAAAAAAAAAAAAAAAAAAAAAAAAATCTCTGCATTTTACTGCAGATAAACATTTCAGTAAAGGTAGAGAATACATAGCAGCATTTAAAGCTCACAACCACGTATAGTCAGTGAATTTAAGCATACAGAAAACCTATGCCTTTTACATAACATACCGAAACTAAAGTAACAAAAAAGGCAGAAATTTGAATTGCATGTGAATATAATTACAACAAAATACCCTTGCTATAAACAAAGACAATAATGTTCAGAAGCATTTAAATCTTGAAGAAGCTCTCAGATATGTATTCACAGTTACATATTGTGTTTCAAGCTTTAGCTGCATAAAGTATGCTTTTTCTGTCCTCTTTAGGACAAAGCCATTCGACCATCCATAGAATGCCAAAAGAAATGAAATCAAATTAAAGAAAATAATAAAACAAGAGAACATAAGTTTTTAAAGTAACAATTTATAATTTCTTATACTCCATATAAAAGATAGGTATTCAATAATTAATGAAACAACTAGTTGTTAACAATAAAGTAAATCTTACAATGGCTTAAAGGGGATTTTTTTAATGTTATAGGAACATTATTATCTTAGGACTATTGTCTATCCATTTTTTCATGTAGATTTCTCAAGAACCTGTAAGAAAATACAAAGTTTCACTATATAATAGTTTATATTATGGAAAATCTGCCATGTACTTGGCGAAATAAAGAACATTCTTAGCAGGAGAAAATCACATTAAACACATTCTAAACATTCAAACTAGACAGAACTGTTGAATTTATATTTTAAAACTCCCTGACAAAACCATAAGTGCATTTTAAGGAGTCAATAAATGCATGCTTTAAAGAGCAAGATACTCAGAAGTGCTTAAAATATTATTTACAAGTCTCATAATCTTATTTGTAAAAATATTTTAGAAAATATATATAAAAGAACTCAAGTCGTTTCCTTTAGGTATCTCCCAGAAAAGATACATTGATGTCAAAAACATTTGACATGTCAGTTTTTACATTTAGTATGGCAGGAATACACGTAAAAGAGCTCCAAATAGAATTTCAGGAATAAAATTAAACATAGCATTCAATTTCTGTCTGAAAAGAATTCATGATTTAATAAATGTTATGAACACATAGGTATTACAACAACAAAATCAAACAGAAAACCCTGTTAGAAGAACACTGCTAACAGTCAACACAGATTCAAGAGGGAAGAATACAAATTCTAATAAGTGGTAGTGACATTTCAGTCTCAAGTCTCCAAAGAGGTTAAGATAAAGTGTTAAAGTCACACTTATAATGTAAGTGTTCCAAGACAGAACACAGGCATTTAACAGAAAAGCAAACAGAAACTCCAAAAAGAGAGGACAACAAACAGCTAATGTGGACAGGGCAGGCTGGCAACCAAAAGGGAGTCTGCAACGTGGGAGAAGGTAACTGAGTGTCTTTCTGTGGTTCACTTTCCTACTGGAGAATCAATTGTATAATCCAGGCCATGGGAGTGTATCTTGACCCTCCCAAACCTTGAATTTGACTTGGGAAGCAACCAGGAGACTGTATAAAGGAACTGCTATAGGGAAATAACACACCCTGGGTTCCACACCTTCCCTGAGACCTAAGCAGCTACAGTAAGATGCCATTCTCAATCCTAGGGTTTAACAAATTGTGTGACCTGGGAACCTATAGCACCAGTCCTAAGTATCAGAGTAACTCAATCTGTGGTTTGCTGAACTGGGGCCTGTGTAGGAAATGGGATTCTGCAACCAGGACTGAAAAGCAAGCGTGACATAAACTCCAGCCCCCAGCTTGGGAGCTAGGCAACCCCCAAGATGTGAGCAGAATAAGAGCCGCCAAAGCAGTCTGGTCCTGACCTGGGCAGGGCTGAGTTATGAGATAGGTGACAACTACCCAGTCCGACTAAACTACAGGATCAGCTGCAAGAGTCGGGATAAGGGAGGAAGCCCCACCAGGACTGAGACATGAGAGGGACACAGATTCCCCACTTGCCAGCCAATGCTGAAACCACTGGGACCAGTAGCCCCACTCTCCCATCATGGCAGTACTTCAGCAAAGGTGTTGTCACCCCTCATGCAAGCATTTCATAGGACAAGCCCAGGCTTTCCCAATCCAGATTTACCCAGCTTTGCCCTACTCTCTGAGACACAATGCAGGATCTGGACTTCTGGAGGTCCCACAGTCCAGCCCACTGCCTGAGACACCCAAGCACTTCTCCCAGGGGACAGAGTTTGGGCATAAAAACCCTGCCATTACTCTCTCGGTTGGTTTCTATCTGCAAGTGCCACCCAGCCTGGAGGTCAGCCCACACAGCCAATTGCAATCACTCCCAACACAAGGGCACTGGGGAGAGCATCTTACCACTACTGCTGCCACCATTACTGAGGCCACCCAGCTACCCAAGAGCTCATGAGCCCACTCACTTGCCCAGTACACTGCTACCACAACTGGTATCCAAAAGAGCCACCCAGAGCCCCCAATAATCAGCCTGCATGGAACTGCCAACTCATGTGCCAGCACACACTGCCCTAGATATAGACCTGCTTAGACAACCACTGCTACCACTGAAACCTGAAGAAGGACCTATCAAGCATTCCAGTCCCTAGCATAATTTCACCACATCCTCCATCAAAACCCACACCCTAACACACAAAGGAATCCACAGATACCAATAACAATATTTATAGCCAAGAATATCATAAAGTATTCACCAATGCGCACACCCAGAAATAAAAACAAGTGGCCCTACTCAACCAACATCGAAGTCACATATAAAGGAGCAAAGTCTACTCCAAACAAAAGTTAAATTGAAAAAAAAAGCAATTGTTCCAGATGTGCTAGAATGAACATAAAAACACAAGAAACATGAAAACGCATGGCAATATGACACCATCAAAGGAACACAATAATTCTCCAACAATAGAGCAGAACCAAAAAGAAAACCTTACAACCCCAAAGAATTCAATATTTTGATTTCAATTAAGTTCAATGAGATACAAGAGAAATCTGAAAACTAATACAAAGTAATCAGAAAATCAATTCAGGATATGAATGAGAAATTTACCAAGGAGATAGACGTCTTTAAAAAAATCCTGGAACTAAAAAATTCACTGAAGGAGATATAAAATACATGGAAACTCCAATAATAGACTAGGCCAAGCAGAAGAAAAGATTTCAGAACATGAAGACAGGTCTTTTCAAACAGTGCAGTCTGATAAAAATTTTAAAAATAAGAAAAAAATGAACAAAGCTTTCCAAGTGTTTAGGACTGCATACAGCATTGAACTTATGAATTACTGGTATTCCCAAAGGGACAGAAACATCAAAAATCTTTAACAAAATAATAGATTGAAAAACTCCCAAGGCTAGCAAGAGATACAGACATAATAGATACAGGAGGCTCCATGATCTGCAGGCAAATACAACATAAAAGGGACTTCAATACAACATATTATAATGAGTGTCTAATGTCAAAGTGAAAGAACAAATTCTACAATCAAGAGAAAAGTGTCATCTATAAAGGAAAGTCCATCAAACTAACAGCAGACTACCCAGCAGAAACCTTACAAGGCAGGAAAAAATGTGACGACATAATCAAAGTGTGAAAGAAAACAACTGTCAGCCAAGAATTGTATATCCAGGTAGTATTAAGCTTCATAAATAAAGGAGAAATAGTCTTTCCCAGACAATCAAATACTGAGGGAATTCATGAAAACTAGACCAGTCCTACAGGAAATGCTCAAAGAAGTCCTAAACTTGGAAGAGACAGGACAATATTTATCATTGTGAAAACACACAAAAATATAAAATACACTAGTAAAGATATCATACAAAGAAGAAGAATCAAATGAAACCATTACAGAATTCCAACAAACCATAAATTTAGACAGACAAAAAACCCAAAAGTTTACAAAATGATGAAAAAAACAATATGACAGGAACAAAATCTCATATACCACCTCAAACATAAATGGATTAAATGTCCTACTAAAAAATACACGTTGGCTAAATGAATAAAAAAAATCAACTATAGGCCATATAGCGGTGGCTCATGCCTGTAATCCCAGCACTTTGGGAGGCCAACACAGGCGGATAATGAGGTGAAGAGATAGAGAACATTCTGTCAACATGGTGACAGTCTCTACTTAAAGTACAAAAATTAGCTGTGCATGGTGGCGCGCACCTATATACAGTCACAGCTACTCAGGAGGCTGAGGCAGGAGAATTGCTTGAACCTGGGAGACGGAGGTTGCAGTGAGCTGAGATCCCGCCACTGCACTCCAGCTTGGCGACAGCACGCGACTCCATCTCAAAAAAAAAGAAAAAAAATCAACTATATGCTATTTACAAGAAACCCACCTTATCTGTGAAGACACATAGACTAAAAGTAAAGGGGTGGAAAAAGATATTGATTGATATTATGGGCCAACGAAAATCTAAAGCAAGCAGAGGTAGCTATATTTTTATCAGATAAAGCATACTTTAAAATAAAAATAGTAAAAAATAATGAAGTCATTATCAGTCAAGAGTTCTACATCGAGAAATATCAAGCTCCATAAATGAAGTAGAAATAATCTTCTTTCCCAGACAGATTATTAACAGAATACTAAGAGAATTTGTCAAAAGTAGACCAGCTCTACAAGAAATGTTCAAAGGAGTCCTAAACTTGAAAGAGACAGGGCAACCCCATCAAGAAAACACAAAAGTATAAAACCTGATATTAAAGGTGTCAGTTCTACAAGAGGACATAACAATTCTAAACATACATGCACCCAACATTTGAGCACCCAAATTCATAAAACAAATATTACTAGACCTAAAGAGAGTTAGACAGAAAAACAATAATAGGGGACGTCACCATCTCACTCACAGCATTAGACAGCTCACTGAGACATAAAATCAACAAACATCAGACTTAAATTGGACTTCAGACAAAATGTACCTAACACACATTTATAGAACATTCTATCCAACAACTGCAGAATAAATACTCTTCTCATCAACACATGGGATATTCTCCAATATAGACCATATGTTATGCCACAAAACAAGCCTCAACAAATTTTTAAAAATCAAATCATACCAAGTAACTTCTCAGACCACAGTAGAATAAAACCAATACCAAGAAATCAATATCAAGAAAAACTCTGGAAACTATACAAATACAGAAAAATTAAACAATATGCCCCTGAATGACCTTTGGATCAATGAAAAAATTAAGGAGAATTAAAAAATTTTATGAAACAAATGAAACTGGAAATACAACATACAAAAACCTGTAGGACACAGCAAAACCAGTGCTAAGAAGGAATTTTGCAGCAATAAATACCTGCATCAAAAAAGTAGAAAGATTGCAAATTAACAACCTAACAATACATCTAAAGGAACTAGAAAAGCAAGAACGAACCAAACACAAAATTAGCAGAAGTAAAGAAGTAACATGGATCAGAGCAAAACTAAATAAAACAGAGACCAAAAAAAAATTAAAAAATTAATGAAACAAAAAGCTCGTTCTTTAAAAAGATAAGCAAAATTGATCAAGTGCTAGCAAGACTAACCAGAGGAAAGAAGATCCAAATATAATAAGAAATCAAAATGGAGACGTTACAAATGATATGAGAAAAATTCAAAAGATCATCAGAGACTATTATGAACAACTACATGTTCATAAACTAGAAAACTTGCAGAAAATAGGTAAATTTCTGGAAACATATAACCTGATATAGTTTGGATGTATGTTCCCATCCAAATCTCATATTGAAATGTAATACCCAATGTTGGAGGTGGGGCCTGATGGGAGGTGATTGGATGATGGAGGCAGGTTTCTCAGGAATGATTTAGCACCACCCCTCTTGGTATTGTCCTCACAATAGTGAATTCTCTTGAGATCTGGTGGTTTAAAAGTGTGTAGCACCTCCCCCCTTCCTCTCTTGTTCCTGCTCTGACCATGTGATGGGTTTGCTCCCCCTTCACCTTTTGCTATGATTGTTTTGTTTCTCAAGGCCTCCCCAGGTGCTAGCATCATGCTTCCAGTACAGCCTGCAGAACCATAAGCCAATTAAACCTCTTTTCTTTATAAGTTACCCAGTCACAGGTATTTCTGTGTAGCAATGTAAGAACAGACTAATACACAACCTCCCAAGATTGAACAAAGAAGAAACAGAAAGCCTGAATAGACCAATAATGGGTAGTGAGATTAAATCAGTAATAAAATCTTCCCCCCAAAAACGCAGGACCAGACGGATTCACAGCTGAATTCTGCCAAACATACAAAGAACTAATACCAATTCTTGTAAAACTGTTCCAAAAAGTTGGAACAGGGGAAAGGAATTCTCCCTAACTCATTCTCCAGTATCATCCCAATACCAAAACCAGACAAGGACACAACGAATAAAGAAAACTAAAGACCAATACCCTGATGAACATAGACACAACAGTCCTAAACAAAATACTAGGAAACAGAATCCAACAGCATATTAAAAAGATAATACACCACAATCAAGTGGGTTTTAGTCAAGGGATCTAAGAGTGGTTCAAAATACACAAGTCAATAAATGTGATTCATCACATAAAAAGAATGAAGGAGAAAAACTTTATGATCAAACCAATAGACTGAGAAATAGCATTTGATAAAATGCAGTACCCCTTCATGATACAAACTCTCAACAAACTGGGCATAGAAGAAATATGCATCATAATATTAAATGCCATATATGACAAGCCCACAGACAACATCACACTGAACAGGGAAAAGTTAAAAACATTTCCTCAAAAACGTTGGACAAGACAAGGATGCCCATTTTCACTACTCCTATTTAACATAGTACTGGAAGTCCTAGCCACAGCCATCAGGCAAGAGATAAAAGGCTTCTAAATGGGAAAAGAGAAAGTAAAATTATTACTGTTTGCTGAAGATATAACTTATATCTAGGAAAACCTAAAGATTCATGAAAAATTCTTAGATTTAATAAATGAATGTAGTAAAGCTGCACAACACAAAATCAACATGAAAAATCAGTAGCATTTCTTACACCAGTAACAATCTAGTTGAGAACAAAATCAAGAAAACAATCCCATTTACAATGGCTACAAGAAAAATACAATACATAGGAATTTTTTGTTTGTTTGTTTTTGAGACAGAGTCTCACTCTGTCGCCCAGGCTGGAGTGCAGTGGCACTATCTCGGCTCACTGCAACCTGTCCCTCCCAGGTTCAAGCAATTCTCAGGCCTCAGCCTCCCAAGTAGCTGGGATTACAGGCACGCACCAGCACGCCTGGCTAATTTTTGTATTTTTAGTAGAGATGGTGTTTCACCATATTGGCCAGGCTGGTCTCAAACTCTTGGGGATCACCCAGGAGTGGTGATCCACCCACCTCAGCCTCTCAAAGTGCTGAAATGACAGGCATGAGCCCATAGTGCTCAGCCAAATACATAGGAATATTTTTTTAACCAAGATGCACAATCTTCACAAGGAGAACTACAAAATACTGACGAAAGAAAACTGAACACGACACAAACAAATGGAAAAACATCCCATGCTCATGGGTCAAAAGAACTATTATGATGATATGCTGGCAAGACGGCCAAAAAGAAACAGCTCCGGTCTGTAGCTCCCAGCAAAATCGATGCAGAAGGCAGGTGATTTCTGCACTTCCAACTGAGGTACCCAGTTCATCTCACTGGGACTGATAGGACAGTGGATGCAGCCCACGGATGGTGAGCAGAAGCAGGGTGGGGCATTGCCTCACCCGGGAAGCACAACGGGTCAGGAGATCCCCCTTCCCCAGCCAAGGGAAGCCGTAAGAGACTGTACCGAGAGGAACGGTGCACTCCGGCCCAGAAACTGTGCTTTTCCCACGGTCTTCACAACCTGCAGACCAGGAGATTCCCTCGGGTGCCTATGCCACCTAGGCCCTGGGTTTCAAGCATAAAACTGGGTGGCCGTTTGGGCAGACACCAGGCTAGCTGCAGGAGTTTGTTTGTTTGTTTTTTTCATACCCCAATGGCACCTGGAATGCCAGTGAATCACCGTTCACTCTCCTGGAAAGGGGGCTGAAGCCAGGGAGCAAAGTGGTCTGGCTCAGCAGGTCCCAACCCCAGAGTACAGCAAGCTAAGATCCACCGACGTGAAATTCTCGCTGCTAGCACAGCAGTCTGAGTTGACCTAGAAGCTCGAGCTTGGTGGAGGGACAGGCGTCCGCCATTGCTGAGGCTTGAGTAGGCGGTTTTACCCTCACAGTGTAACAAAGCCACCAGAGAGTTCGAACTGGGCAGAGCCCACTGCAGCTCAAAAAGCCACTGCAGCTCAAAAAGCCACTGCAGCCAGACTGCCAGTCTAGATTCCTCCTCTCTGGGCAGGGCATCTCTGAAAAAAAGGCAGTAGCCTCAGTCAGGGACTTATAGATAAAACCCCCATCTCCCTGGGACAGAGCACCTGGGGAAAGGGGTGGCTGTGGGTGCAGCTTCAGCAGACTTAAACGCCCCTGCCTGGCAGCTCTGGAGAGAGCAGTGGATCTCCCAGCATAGCATTCAAGCTCTGATCCAGTGACAGACTGCCTCCTCAAGTGGGTCCCTGACCCCTGTGTATCCTGACTGGGAGAAACCCCACAGTGGGAGCCGAAAGACACCTCATACAGGAGAGCTGGGGCTGGCATCTTGTGGGTGCCCCTCTGGAAAGAAGCTTCAGGAAGAAGCAAGAGGCAGCAATCTTTGCTGTTCTGCAGCCTGCACTGGTGATACCCAGGCAAACAGGGTCTGGAGTGGACATCCAGCAAACTCCAGCAGAAGGGCCTGACAGTTAGAAGGAAAACTAATAAACAGAAAGGAATAGTATCAACATCAACAAAAAGTACGGCCACTCAGAGACCTCTTCCAAAGGTCACCAACATCAAAGAACAAAGGTAGATAAATCCACAAAGATAGGGAGAAACCAGCACAAAAAGGCTGAAAATTCCAAAAACCAGAACAGCTCTTCTCCTCCAAAGGATCACAACTCCTCGCCAGCAAGGGAACAAAACTGGACGGAGAACGAGTTTGACGAACTGACAGAAGTAGGCTTCAGAAGCTGGGTAATAACAAACTCCTCCAAGCTAAAGGCGCATGTTCTAACCCAATGCAAGAAAGCTAAGAACCTTGAAAAAAAGGTAAAACAAACTGCTAACTAGAATAACCAGATTAGAGAAGAACATAAATGACCTCTTGGAGCTGAAAAACACAGCACGAGAACTTCATGAAGCATACACAAGTATCAATAGCCGAATCGATAAAGCAAAAGAAAGGATATCAGATATTGAAGATCAACTCAATGAAATAAAGTGAGAAGACAAGATCAGAGAAGAAACAGTGAAAAGAAATGAACAAAGCCTCCAAGAAATATGGGACTATGTGAAAAGACCAAATCTATGTTTGATTGGTGTACCTCAAAGTGATGGGGAGAATGGAACCAAGTTGGAAAACACTCTTCAGGGTATTATCCAGGAGAACTTCCCCAACCTAGCAAGGCAGGCCAACATTCAAATTCAGGAAATAGAGGGAACACCGCAAAGATACTCCTCGAGAAGAGCAACCCCGAGACACATAATCGTCAGATTCACCAAGGTGGAAATAAAGGAAAAAATGTTAAGGGCAGCCAGAGGGAAAGGTCAGGTTACCCACAGCAGATCTCTCAGCAGAAACCCTAATGGGCAAAATAACCAGCTACCATCATAATGACAGGATCAAACTCACACATGACAATATTAATCTTTAATGTGACTGAGCTAAATGCCCCAATTAAAAGACACAGACTGGCAAATTGGATAAAGAGTCAAGACTCATTGGTGTGCTGTATTCAGGAGACCCATCTCACATGCAAAGACACACATAGGCTCAAAATAAAGGGATGGAGGAAGATCTACAAAGCAAATGGAAAGCAAAAAAAAGGAGGGGTTGCAATCCTAGTCTCTGATAAAACAGACTTTAAACCAACAAAGATCAAAAGAGACAAGGGCATTACATAATGGCAAGGGGATCAATGCAACAAGAGCTATCTATTCTAAGTATATATGCACCCAATACAGGAGCACCCCAATTCATAAAGCAAGTTCTTAGAGACCTACAAAGAGACTTAGACTACCACACAATAATAGTGAGAGACTTTAACACCCCACTATCAATATTAGACAGATCAAAAAGACAGAAAATCAACAAGGATATCCAGGACTTGAACTCAGCTCTGGACCAAGTGGACTTAATAGACATCTACAGAACTCTCCACACCAAATCAACAGAATATACATTATTCTCAGCACCATAACGCACTTATTCTAAAATTGACCACATAATTGGAAGTAAAACACTCCTCAGCAAATGCAAAAGAACAGAAATCATTAATAAACACTCTGTCGGACCACACTGCAATCAAATTAGACTCAAGATTAAGAAACTCACTCAAAACCTCACAACACATGGAAACTGAACAACCTGCCGCTGAATGACTACTGGGTAGAAAACGAAATAAAAGCAAAAATAAAGTTGTTCTTAGAAACCAATGAGAACAAAGACACAAGGTACCAGAATCTGTGGGACACATTTAAAGCAGTGTGCAGAGGGAAATTTATAGCACTAAATGCCCACACAAAAAAAAAAATAAAACAAAACTCAACAAAAACAGGAAAGATCTAAAATCGACACCCTAACATCACAATTAAAAGAACTAGAGAAGCAAGAGCAAACAAATTCAAAAGCTACCAGAAGACAAGAAATAACTAAGATCAGAGCAGAACTGAAGGAGATAGAGACATGAAAAGTCCTTCAAAAAAATCAATGAATCCAGGAGCTGGTTTTTTGAAAAGCTCAACAAAATACACAGACCCTTAGCCAGACTAATAAAGAAGAAAAGAGAGAAGAATCAAATACACACAATAGAAAATGATAAAGGGGACTTCACCACTGATCCCACAGAAATACAAACTACCATCAGAGAATACTAGAAACACATCTACGCAAATAAACTAGAAAATCTAGAAGAAATGGATAAACTCCTGGACACATACACCTGCCCAACACTAAACCAGGAAGAATTTGAATCCCTGAATACAGCAATAAGAAGTTCTGAAACTGAGGCAGTAGTTAATAGCCTACCAACCAAAAAAAGTCCCAGACTAGACAGAATGACAGCCAAATTCTACCAGAGGTACAAAGAGAAGCTGGTACCATTCCTTCTAAAACTATTCCAAACAACAGAAAAAGAGGGAATCCTTCCTAATTCATTTTACGAGGCCAACATCATCCTAATACCAAAACCTGGCAGAGACACAACAAAAAAAGAAAATTTCAAGCCAGTATCCCTGATGAACATCAATGCAAAAATCCTCAATAAAATACCAGCAAACCAAATCCAGCAGCACATCAAATAGCTTATCCACCATGATCAAGTCGGCTTCATCCCTGGGATGCAAGGCTGGTTCAAGATATGCAAGTCAATAAAAGTAATCCATCACATAAACAGAACCAATGAAAAAACAACAAGATTATCTCAACAGATGCAGAAAAGACCTTTGATAAAATTCAACAGCCCTTTGTGCTAAAAAAAACTCTCAATAAACTAGGCATTGATGGAACATATCTCAAAATAATAAGAGCTATTCATGACAACCCACAACCAATATCATACTGTATGGGCAAAAACTGGAAGAATTCCCTTTGAAAACCAGCACAAGACAAGGATGCCCTCTCTCACCACTCCTATTCAACACAGTATTGGAAGTTCTAGCCACGGCAATCAGGCAAGAGAAAGAAAGAAAGGATATTCAATTAGGAAAAGAGGAGGCTGGGTGCGGTGGCTCACGCCTGTAATCCCAGCACTTTGGGAGGCCAAGGCGGACGGATCACGAGGTCAGGGGATCTAGACCATCCTGGCTAAGACAGTGAAACCCCGTCTCTACTAAAAATACAAAAAATTAGCTGGGCTTGGTGGCAAGCACCTGTAGTCCCAGCTACTAGGGAGGCTGAGGCAGGAGAATGGCATGAACTCGGGAGGAGGAGCTTACAGTGAGCCGACATCGTGCCACTGCACTCCAGCCTGGGTGACAGAGTGAGACTCCGTCTCAAAAAAAAAAAGAAAAAAAAGAAAAGAGGAAGTCAAATTGTCTGTGTTTACAGATGACATGATTGTATATTTAGAAAACCCCATCATCTCAACCAAAAATCTCCTTAAGATGATGAGCAACTTCAGCAAAGTCTCAGGATACAAAATCAATGTGCAAAAATCACAAGCATCCCTATACACCAATAACAGACACAGAAAGACAAATCATGAGTGAACTCCCATTCACAATTGCTACAAAAAGGATACAATACCTAGGAATCCAACTTACAAGGGATTTGAAGGTCCTCTTCAAGGAGAACTACAAATCACTGCTCAAGAAAATAAGAGAGGACACAAACAAATGAAAAAACATTCCATGCTCATGGATAGGAAGAATCAATATCGTGAAAATGGCTATACTGTCCAAAGTAATTTATAGATTCAATGCTATCCCCATCAAGCTACCATTGACTTTCCTCACAGCATTGGAAAAAAACTACTTTAAATTTCACATGGAACCAAAAGGAGCCCACATAGCCAAGACAATCCTAAGCAAAAGAACAAAGCTGGAGGCATCATGCTACCTGACTTCAAACTACACTACGAGGCTACAGTAACCAAAACAGTGTAGTACTGGTACCATACAGACATATAGACCAATGGAACATAACAGAGGCCTCAGAAATAACACCACACATCTACAACCATCTGACCTTTGACAAACCTGACAAAAACAAGAAATGGGGAAGGGATTCCCTATGTAATAAATGGTGCTGGGAAAACTAGCTAGCCCTGTGTGGAAAAGTGAAAATGGACCCCTTCCTTACACCTTATACAAAAATTAAGTCAAGATAGATTAAAGACTTAAAAATCATAAAAACCCTAAAAGAAAACCTATGCAATACCATTCAGGTCATAGGCATGGGCAAAGACTTCATGACTAAAACACCAAAAGCAATGGTAACAAAAGCCAAAATGGACAAATGGGATCTAATTAAACTGAAGGGCTTCTGCCCAGCAAAAGAAACTACCATCAGAGTGAATAGGCAACCTACAGAATGGGAGAAAATTTTTGCAATCTATCCATCTGACAAAGGGCTAATATCCAGAATCTACAAGGAACTTAAACAAATTTACAAGAAAAAAACCCATCAAAAAGTGGGCAAAGGATATGAACAGACACTTCTCAAAAGAAGACATTTATGCAGCCAAAAACACATGAAAAAAAGCTCATCACCACTGGTCATTAGAGAAATGCAAATCAAAACCACAATGAGATACCATCTCATGCCAGTTAGAATGTGATCATTAAAAAGTCAGGAAACAACAGATGCTGAAGAGGATGTGGAGAAATAGGAATGCTTTTATACTGTTGGTGGGAGTGTAAATTAGTTCAACCATTGTGGAAGACAGTGTGGCAATTCCTCAAGGATCTAGAACTATAAATACCATTTGACCCAGCCATCCCATTACTGGGTATATACCCAAAGGATTATAAATCATTCTACTATAAAGACACATGCACATGTATGTTTATTGCAGCACTGTTCACAACAGCAAAGACTTGGAACCAACCCAAATGCCCATCAATGAAAGACTGGATTAAAAAAAAATGTGGCACATATACACCATGGAATACTATGCAGGCATAAAAAAGGATGAGTTCATGTCCTTTGCAGGGACATGGATGAAGCCGGAAACCATCATTCTCAGCAAACTAACACAAGAACAGAAAACCAAACACCGCATGTTCTCACTCATAAGGGGGTGCTGAACAATGAGAACACATGGACATAAGGGGTGGGGGAATCACACACTGGGGCCTGTCAGGGTGTGGGGGGCTGGTGGAGGGATAGCATTAGGAGAAATACCTAATGTAGATGACGGGTTGATGGGTGCAGCAAACCACTATGGCACGTGTATACCTATGTAACAAACCTGCACATTCTGCACATGTACCCCAGAACTTAAAACATAATAATAAAAAGAATTATTATTAAAATGACTATACTGCCCAAAGCAATCTACAGATTCAATGCAATCCTTATCAAAATACCATTGTCATTTTTCACTAAATTAGGAAAAACAATCCTAAAATTCATATGGAAGCAATGAAGAACCTGAATGGCCAAAGCAGTCCTAAGCAAAAAGAACAAACCTGGAGGCCTTACACTCTCTGACTTCAAATTAAACTGCAAGGCTATAATAACCAAAACAGCATGGTACTAGTATAAAGATAGACACATAGATCAAGAGAACAGACTAGAAAACCCAGAAATAAAGCTACATATTTACATTTAAGTGTTCTTTGACAAAGTCAACAAGAACATAAATTGAGGAAAAGACAACGTTTTCAATAAATGGTGCTGAGAAAACTGCATTGCCAAAAGCAGAAGAATGAGACTAGACCCCTGTCTCTGATCATATAAAAAAAATCTCAAGATGAATTAAGAGACTTCAATGGAATACTTGAAATTTAAAATACTAGAAGAAACCTAGCGAAAACTCTTTTGGACCTTGTTCTAAGCAAAGAATTCATGACTAAGATCTTAAAAGGACAGAAAACAAAAATAAAAATAGACAAATGGAACTTAGTTAAACTAAGAAGATTTGCCCAGGAAAAGAAATAATCAACATAGTACATAGAAAACCTGCAAAATGGGAGAAAATATTTGCAAACTATGCACCTGACAGAGGACCAATATCCAGAATGTACAAAAAACCCAAACAACTGAACAACAACAACAAAAATAATCCCATTAAAAAGTGGGCACAGGGCAAAGGACATGAATAGACATTTTTCAAAAGAAGACATAAAAATGGCCAACAGATACATTTAAAAATGCTCAACATCACTGATCAGAGAAATGCAAATCAAAGCCACAATGAGCTATCATCTTACCCTAGTCAGAATGGCTATTAAAAAGTGAAGAAAGTCCGGGCGCAGTGGCTCACGCCTGTAAGCCCACACTTTGGGAGGCTGAGGCAAGCGGATCACAAGGTCAGGAGTTCGAGACCAGCCTGACCAACATGGTGAAACCCCATCTCTACTAAAAATACAAAAATTAGCCGGGCGTGGTGGTGTGCGCCTGTAATCCCAGCTACTCAGGAGGCTGAGGTGGGAGAAACTCTTGAACCTGGGAGGCGGAGGTTGCAGTGAGCCGAGGTCACACCATTGCAATCCAGCCTGGGTGACAGAGCAAGACTCCGTCTCAAAATAATAAATAAATAAATAAATAAAAAATAAAAAAGTTAAAAAATAATAGATGTTAACAAGGATGTGGAGAAAAGAGAACTCTTATGGAAAATAGTATAGAAAAGGGAACTCTATGGAAAACAGTATAGAGATTGCTCAAATAACTAAAACTAGAACTAACATTCAATCTAGCAATCCCTCAATGGGGCATCTACCCAGAGGAAAAGAAATCAGTGTACTAAAAAGGTACTTGCACTCCTGTTTATCACAGTATTCATAATAACAACAATATGGGATCAACCTAAGTGTCCATCATTGGATGACTGGATAAAGAAAATATGGTGTGTATATATAGACAATGGAACACTATTGAGCCATAAAAAAGAACAGAATCATATCTTTTGCAGCAACTTGGATGAAACTGGAGGCCATTATCTTAAGTGAAACAAGTCAGACACAGAAAGACAAATACTGCATATTCTTACTCATAAGTGGGAGCTAAATAATGTGTACACATGGATGTAAAAAGTGGAATGACAGACAATGGAGACTCAGAAGGGAGAGGAGGTGCTGCGAGGGTGGATAATGAGAAATTACCTAAAAGTCCTGAATTCACCATTATGAAATCTATGCATGTAACAAAATTTCAGTTGTACACCATGAATTTATACAAAGAAAAATAAATAAATGGCAAAAAACAGACGTATTAAAGTGAGATGAGATGAAATTTTAAAATCCCTTCAATCATATTCTGCAAAAAGCTATTAATGTCAAGTTTTTTTTTCAATTGGCCCTCTCATTTATTAAATCTAAACAATAAGAGATAAAAAGAAGTGTCTTTCAACCAGTCTTTGACAAGGGCACCAAGGATACACCATGGGAAAAAGCCTTTTCAACTAATGGTACTGAGAAAACTGAAAATCTACATGCAAAAAAAAAAAAAAGGAACTGGACCTTTATCTTATACCATGCACAAAAATTAACTAAAAATGAATTAAAGACTTAAATGAAAGATCTGAGACTATAAAATTTCTAGAAAAAAATACAGGAAAAATAGCTCCTTAGCACTGGCCTTTGCAATGATTTTTTGGATAGGACACCAAAAGCGTATCACTTTTTGGATATGAAATACATAACAAAAGCAAAAACAAACAAGTGTGATTATATCAAACTAAAAAGCTTCTACACAACAAAGGAAACTTAACAAAATGAAAAGGCAACCTATAGAATGTGAGAAAACAGAGGTTCGGCATCCCTAATCCAAAAATCCAAAATCTAAAATACTCCAAAATCTGAAACTCTTTGAACTCCAACATGATACCATAAACAGAAAATTTCCCACCTGATCTCATATGACAGGTCACAGTCAAAACTTTGTTTCATACACAAAATTATTTAAAATATTGTGTAAGATTACCTTCAGGCTATGTATATAAGGTGTATTTGAAACATAAATGAATTCAGTGTTTAGACTTGCTTACCATCCCCAAGACATCTCATTATGTATATGCAAATATTCCAAAATTCAAAAAATCCAAAATCCAAAACACTTCTGGTCCCAAGCATTTCAGATACGTGATACCCAACCTGTATTTGTAAACCATGTATAAGAGGTTAACATACAAAATACATAAGGAACTCACAAACTCAATAGCAGGAAAACTAATAACCCATTTAAAAACTGGACAAAGGAACTGAACAGACATTCTCCCCACCAAAAAAAGGCATAAAAATGATCAACAGGTATATAAAAGAGTGGTCAATATCATTAATCATCAAAGAAATGCAAATCAAAAGCATAATACAACATGACGTTACATCGTTAAAATACCTATTATCAAAAAGACAAGAGACAGCAAGTGTTAGGAAGACAGCAGAGAAAAAGAAACCATTGTACAGTGTTGGTGGGAATGTAAATTGGTACAGCCTTTATGAAAAACAGTATGGAGGTTCCTTAAAACATTAAAAATAAAACTATCATACAATCCAACAATCCCACTCCTGGTTTATACGCAAAGGAAATGAAATCAGTTGAAGAGATATCTGCACCCTCATGTTCACTGCAGTATTATTCACAATGGCCAAGATAAGGAAACAACCTAAGTGTCTGTCAACAAATGAACAGATAATGAATGGAATATTATTCAACCTTTAAAAAGAAAACACTGCCATTTGTGACAAAATGGATGAACCTGGAGGGTGTTATGCTAAGTGAAATAAGCCAGGCACAGAAAGACAAAACACTGTATGAGCTAATTTATACGCATACTCTAAAAGTTTAACTCACTGAAGCAGAGAGTAGAATGGTAGTTGCCTGGGGATGGGGTATGAGGGAAATGAGGAGATGCTGGTCAGAGGGTACAACTTTTAGCTATAAAACAAATTAAGTTCTGGGAATCTAATGTATGGCATGGTGACTATAGTTAATAATACCACGTTGTTTACTTTAAGTTTTCAAAGACAGTAGATCTTAAATGTCCTCACGCACACACTCACCCACACATAAAAGGTGGTAACTGTGTGGTGACAGATATGTTGATTAATTTGATTATGGTAATCATTACACAATGTATACAGCTATCAAATCATCACATTGCACACCCTGAATACGCATAATTTTTGTTTATCAATTATACCTCGATAAAGCTTAAAAAAGAAGTTTTTAAAATGGAATAAAAATAAACACCTTTTGATTTTTTAACATTATTTCATTGATCTTACCCTCTTTGAATTCAGAATCACAGTCTTTCCTCAGTATCTAGCGAGGGCTGGTTCCAGGACCCCCTACAGACACCCAAAACTGCAGATACTCAAGTCCCTCATATAAAATGACACAGTATTTAAATATAATCTACACATATCCTCCTTTATACTTTAAATCATCTCTAGATTATTTATAATAACTAATACAATGACAACACATCATTTCTGTGGATTTAACATAGTACTCAGCACATGGCAAATTCAAGTTTCACTTTTTGGAATTTTTTGTTTCCCAAATATTCTTGATCTGCTGCGAGTTTAATCCATGAATACGAAATCCAGGGATACAGAGGGCTGACTGTACTACCAACATGTGTTCTGCTGCAAGCACCCCACAGTTTATGTGGGTAGGACCCTAAGTTACCATAAAACAGTTAAAGTCATTGCATGTACACCTTTTTTCATCATATAAGTCAGTGTAATATATTTTTGTTACAATTTAAATGGCATGATCTGTTTTCACATCTGGCTATTTTGGCCACAGTATCCTAAACAGTTCTCAGAATGAAAAAGAAAGATAGCATTACAGCTGCCAGAGGTAGCATGATATAAAAGGAATAAGACTTAGAGACAGACAGATCCAATCCTCATTTCAGTTTCATCATGGACCACTTGGGATAATATGATAAAGTGACTAATATTTTCTAAAGTTTTATTTCCTCACTTTTAAAAGGTATGTGACATGGTTTGGATCTGTGACCACAACAAATCTCATGTGCAATTGTAATCTCCAGTGTTGGAGGTGGGCCCGGTGGGAGGTGACTGGATCATGGGGGCAGGCTTCTCATGAATGCTTTAGCACCATCCCTTCAGTGCTATTCTTGTGATAGTTGAGTTCTCGCAAGACCTGCTTGTTCAAAAGTATGTAGCCCCTCCCTCCTCCCTCTCTCTCTTGTTCCTGCTCCTGCCATGAAAGACACCTGCTCCCCATTCACCTTCCACCATGACTGTAAGTTTCCTGAGGCCTCCCCAGAAGCCAAGCAGATGCCAGCACATCATGCTTCCCGTACAGCCTGCAGAACCGTGGGCAAATTACACCTCTTTTCTTTATATAATTACCCTATTTCAGGTTATTTATAGCAATGTGAGAATGGACTAATATGAAGTACATACAAACAACTATATAAATCACCCTGCATAATGCCTGACGCAGAAAAATTCCGCAGCTAACATCTATGTGTTAGGATAGCATAATAGCTTAGGAATGTGACTATTCTTGTCAAATCCCAACTCAGCCACTTACTTAGCTGTACAATCATGGGCAACTTTTTAAACCTCTCTAAGCCTCAATTTTATAAGTACATGTATAAACTAGAACTATTAATGGGTTTTGTAACATACAAAGAACTCATTATAACATCTGACCCACAATAAGCACAATAAATGCTTGTTATCATTATATTATTTAAGCATTTCAGACTTTAAAATAGTATATTAGCAATCCTATGATATACCCAGAATTACCAAAAGATAATTTCCAGCATTCTCAATGGGACAATGTACAATTAATCAGATCATTCCAACTTCTTTATTTGCATATTTTATATGACAAATGATTAATTAATTTCTTAAAGAGAAGCTTCTGTAATCCAACTATGGGAAAAATATTACCTTTAAAAAAACAAACTTTCATCATGAAGACACTAAAAAGTAATTTACTATTAGAAGCAGAAAACAAAAATATTTTTAATTGTTATGACTACTAAAGTGCAAGGAAAAAAACGGACTGTATAAAATATAGGAAAAATATAAACAGAAAACAGGCTACTATTAAAAAGCCAAGAATTTTTTTTAAAAATGAAAATGGCTTAAAAAAAGAATTGCAGGGAAACAAATGGAAAGCTTAAAATCTATAGAGGATATAGGAAAAAGTAGACTTTAAAATGATAAAAAATGAAGCAATGACATAGAAGACACTTGAGAGTAGTAAGAATACAGAATTTTTAAAAAGGGAAGTAGAGAAGTGAAAACAATAAAGGGGCATTTTCTAACATCCTACTTAATGATAAGAGCCTGAATGCTTTCACCCTAAAATTGGGAACAAGGCAAGGATATTCAGACTTACCACTCCTATTCAGCATCACGTTGGAAGTCCTTGTCAGTAAAATAAAGCAAGAAAAATAAAAGCTCTACAGATTGAAAAGGAAGAAATAAAACTGTCTTTATTCACAGACAACGTGACTGCCTTCAAAGGAAATCACAAAAAACCTATAAGAAAGCTGCTAAAACTAATTAGTGAATTTACCAAGTTACAGGATAGAGATCAGTATAGAAAAGTCTACTGTATTTCCATATACTATCAATAAGCCATTGGAAAACAAAATTTGAAAAATACTACCAATAGTTCAACAACAAAAAAAAAAAGAAAGAAAAAGTACTTAAGGTACAAACCTAACAAAATAAGGGCAGGATTGATAAGCTGAAAACAAAAGACACTGATAAAAGAAATCAAAGAAGACCTAAATAAATAGATATACTCAATACTTATTAAGGAGTCATTTCTCAATAAAGTTATTTACAAATTAAACACAACCCCAATCAATACCCCAAGCAGGATTTTTTACAGAAATACAAAAGCTGATTTTCAAACATATGAAAAGGCAAAGAAACTAGGATTGCCAAAACAATTATAAAAAAGAAGAAAAAAGTCAGTGGGTTCACAATACCTGATTTTAACACTTACTATTAAGCTATAATAATTAAGGCAGTGTGATATTGGCATAGACAAATAAGTCAATGAAATCAAAGAGAGATTCCAGAAAAAGACTCACAAAAATATCAAATGATTTTAGACAAACACATGGTAATTCAATGACAAAATGATAATTTTAACAACAAATCACATTGGAGCAAATGAACATCCATACATAGAAAAAATGAACTTTGACCTGCACTTTATGTATCATACAAAATTAACAGTAAATGGATTTTAGATCTAAACATAAAATATAAATATGTAAAACATTTAGAAGAAAACAGTAAATATTTATGTCATGATTAGGCTGCAAATTCCTAGAAAACCAGAAGTAGGTTCATGAAAAGAGAAAAAAAAAATACAACAGATTTCATCAAAGTTAATGGTTCTGTTCTGGGAAAGATACTGTTAAGAGAATGAAAAGGAAAGCTACAGATTAGGAGAAAATACGTGCAAATCATATATCTCACAGAGGACTTCTAGAGAATATACAGATGCTCCTTGACTTACAATGGGCTTATGCCTCAATTAATCTATCGTTAAGTTAAAATACAATAATTCACAAATGTATTTAATACACTTAATCTACCAAACATCACAGCTTAGCTTAGCTAACCTTAGACATGTTCAGTATACTTACATTAGCCTGTGGTTGAGCAAAATCATCTAACACAAAGCCTATTTGTTAATCAATACATAATATTTTTGCATATTTATGAGATATGTGTTATATTTTCTTATATGCATAGACTGTGTAATGATCATGTCAGGGTATTTAAGATATTCACCACCCTGAGCATTTATCATTTGTGTGTGTTCAGAACAGTTCACTTCCTTAATTCTAGCTATTTTGAAATGACCAATATATTGATGTCAACTATAAGCACCATACTAAACTATCAAACATTAAACTTATTACTTCTGATTATATGTTTGTACCCATTAACCAACTTCTACTCATCCACCCTCCGACCCCACATCCCATGCATTCTTCTCAGCCTCTGGTGACTACCATTCTACTCTCTACCTCCATGACATCAACTTGTTTAGCTCCCACATAGGAGTGAGTGCCTGTTATATTTGTCTGTGTCTAGCTTATTTCACGTAACATAAAGACCTCTAGTTCTATCCATGTTGCTGCAAACAACATTTCACTCTCTTTTATGGTTGAATATTATTCCAGTGTGTAATTATACCAAATTCCCTTTATTCATCCATCCACTAATGGACACTTAGGTTGATTTCTTATCTTTGCTATTGTGAACAGTGTTGCAACAAACACAGGGGTACAAATATTTCTTTAATATACCGATTTCCTTTCCTTTGAATATATACCAAGTAGTGGAATTACTGGACTGTGTGGTAGTTCTAATTTTAGTTTTTTGAGAAATCTCCACACTGCTTTTCCCTAATGGCTGTACTAATATACATTGCCACCAAAAGCATATGAGAGTTCCCTTTTCTCCACATCCTCACCTGCATCCATTATTTTTTTCTCTTTTTAATAATAGCCATTCTAACTGGGGTAAGATGATATGGCATGTTTGGTTTTGACTTGCATTTCTCTGATAATTAGTGATTTTAAGCATTTTTTCATATACCTGTTAGCCATTTATATATCGTCTTTCAAGAAGCATTTGTTTAGATCCTTTGTCCACATTAAATGGGATTAGTTACTTTGCAGTTGAGATGTTTGAGTTCCTTGTATATTCTGGATATTAATCATTTGCTAAGTCAATAGTTTGTAAATATTTTATCCCATTTGTCAGGTTGTGTCTTCATTTTGTTGATTGTTTCCTCTAATGTACAGAAGATTTTTAGTTTAATATAGTTCCATTTGTCTATTTTGGGGTTTTTTGTCCATGTTTTAGGAAGGTCAGCCATAAAATTTTTGCCTAGACAAATGTCCTGGAGTATTTCTCCTGTTTTCTTCTAGTATTTTAACAGTTGTGGGTCTTATGTTTAAGTCTTTAATCAATTTTGAGTTGATTTTTTACATGGTGAGAGAGAAGGGCCATTACATTCTTCTGCATAGTTATCCAGTTTTCCTAGCACCATTTATTAAAGAGGGTGCCCTTTCCCCAGTTGTATGCTCTTGGCAACTTTGTAATAAATCAGTTGGCTATAAATACATGGGTTTACTTCTGGGTATTTTATGCTGTTCCATTGGTATATATGTCTGCTTTTCTACCAACACCATGCTGTTTTGGTTACTATAGCCTTGTAATACAAGTTGAAATCAGGGAATATGATGCCTCCAGCTTTGTTCTTTTTGCTTAGGATTGCTTTGGCTATTTGGGTTCTCTTTTGGTTTCATACAAATTTTAAGATTATTCTGTTTCTAACAGGGATTAGACTCTTAAAATGGAGCCGTGCTCCAGCTACCTAAGACTCAGGGGGAGCATGGAACCCAGCAAGAGCACCCTTTCTAGAGCAATACCATTGCATGAACTTCAGGGAGCTCCCTATGCCAGTCTCGGGGCCCATGGGGTTCAAGAACTCTCCCACAGTTAGGATTACAGGAGTCTGCAGCAAGAATGTGGACAGCTAGGGATCTCTCACTTACCCCAACTCCACACTGAGGAGCCTCTCCAGGCTTCTGGTTGATCCCAGCAAGGCTGTCCACCTCTCCTCCCTCTCCTCAGGTGTTTCCGGTCACTTCTCTACTGAACTCTAGCATTCTCTTTTAGATGTTTTATTTACAGTGTGATTACCTACTCACTATTTTGGTTCTTCTTTGTGGAGAAGTGTCCTGTGCCTCTAGTCAGCCATCTTGAAAAGCCTCCAAAAACAGGAATATCTTATGTACCACACCACTAGCCGAAGAAGAGATCAAAAGTAAAAGTATATCGAAATTGCGATAGTTTTGCACTACTGTAAAATCTAAACTTAAGTCAGGGCCCATACCAGACAATTTTTTTACTTTATAATGGCATGAAACCAATATGTATTCAGCAAAAACTATACTTCATATTTTGAATTCTGTATTTTCCTGGGCTAGCAATATGTATGATATTCTCTCATGATGCTGGGCAATGGCAGCGAGCGATAGTTTCCAGTCAGCCATGTGATCACAAGGGTAAACAACTGATTCTCTAGAGTGTACTCTGTTTTTGACTTAACGATATTTTCAATTTGTGACAGGTCTATCAGGATGTAAGGCCATTGTAAGTTGAGGAGCATCTGTGTTTCTTTTGCCTGACTCTACCTCTCAACAAAATATTATCACTTTAAAAACTCTTCAGGTATAATAATTTATGCCATATGTTATTGAAAAACATATTTAAGACAGTATGTTCTATACCTTACAGGGAGCCAGAATTCTCTGCCGGAACTTTTCAACTGTTTCTTGACCCATAGAAGACCACGTATTGACAAATGCTTCAGCTTTGTCTTGTCTAAGATGAATGTTCTCTAATTGCTGCTGCAAAGCTGCTGGCTTCACATTGTGATACACTGCCTATTAAAAAGAAACAAAAAATTACATATGTCCCTCATCTTCATACTGAAACTTTAAACTATACTAAATACAAAACTATTTTTAAATGACTTAAGTCAAAAGAAAACTTCATAGTCCTATTACCAACATTTTTGGTTATTTTACACATAATAAAATACACGACCAAGGGCTGGAAGATTCAGGATTAAATGGCCTAAATTATTCAAGATGAATTTTTTTCTCACTCTTACCTATGCTTTAAGTAATCCTAAATCCACTTAAAAACCAAAAAACTTCTTCTTTGCTTTGGCTATGTAAATGGTACCCTAATTAAAATTTCATTTATTTCACTTAATAATTTCAAATAAGTATACAATAGTTTTGTTTCCCAACTAACAAATTTTTTCCCAGAAGCACTTTCTCAAAATTACCTTATCTACCAATTTCCTACATAATATATGATTAAAAGTTGTAAAAAATTTTAACACTGATACCTGTTCTGTTTCTTACATTATTCTGGAACACCATGCTATGCTGTCCTACTCAATGATCCTTTTCTTCTACTGAACACCCACCAAAAATTAGAACCACATTTATCTTTGTGATCTATAATGTATGTAAGGCTGTAGTAGATAACTGGTAGCTTGTCCTCCTAATATGTTCATTAAAATGCTCATGAAGTTACAAAACTATTTAAACTTTTATTTCACAAGTATTATTTTTAATCAACAGGAATTTATGAGGATCTATTTTAAGCACACCAATGTGGTAGGCTTATATAAGATACACAAAAAATATGATCCTGCTCCCCACAAATTAGAATCTGGTGAAGGAGGTATAACTAACGCATATGAACTGCTGAAAGACTAACAATGTGCTCTACTGTGATGAGCCAAGGATTTTTAAAAATCCAAATAAAGGAAGTATAAGGGGTCACAGCTCAAGTAAAGGAGATGAGCCTTGAATAGGAGCTTAAATCAGGAAGTGAATTTAGATGAGAAAAAGGGATGCAGAAGGCAGCTTAGTGGCACATAATATGACAATACTTCTTTTCTAAATGTCTTACTTACCATCCTAGTCAATATATCCCCCAAATCATTTAATATCTTAAGTAAAATATGTCCATTTTTCCATTATACCAAGTACCAATGAATTAAAATCTTGTATAACTGTCTCAAATCAATGAAGTCTCAATTCATATTTAAATACTTTACAATATTCAAATATTTTTACACTGAAATTCTTAACTAAAATACATTCACAGCTTCCATCTTGCAT
The DNA here is from genome assembly GCF_000001405.40 of Homo sapiens. Classification (NCBI taxonomy): domain Eukaryota; kingdom Metazoa; phylum Chordata; class Mammalia; order Primates; family Hominidae; genus Homo; species Homo sapiens. The sequence goes on along the minus strand of NC_000005.10, from coordinate 116,091,287 downwards.
ACTTTTTAATTAAAAAAAACAGAATGTCATAGATATCATAACAATACAAATATGTAGTAAACAAATCATGGCTAGAAAATTTGATGCAATAAAAATACCTGTTCTAAAATAAATGATATTGTTTCAAGAACTAGGTGAAGATCTTGTTTCTCTAGAGAAAATGCCGCTTGAAGTTTTTCTTCCTCTTCTTCACTGAAACTGCTCTCAGCCTATAATACAAATAGCAATCTATTATATTAGCACATATTCAGGCATTCAAAATTCATACTTGACAGAAGATTCATTTATTCGTATATGAGATGAGAACTTTAAAGAAAAATACATGGTGAAAAGAAACTGATGTGCATGTAAATTTATAAAACATATGATGCTCATTTCTAGACCTTTGTAAACAAAATAAATTAGATTAAACAAATATCTTGTGGTGACGCAGGTCATAATTACAAGCATCAGAGCCCTGTGCTAAGGGGCTCATCTATCCTAAAGAACTGCTGAGATACATGGATAATTTTTAACCAGAGCAAACAGAAATCTCAGACTTCTGTCCTTTTATGTTTCTTGGGTGTGATTTTCATAATTCTCCCATTTCATTTCATGATCAGCAGTCATTTCTTGAAGCTGCCTACATGCCCCATGACAGTACCTTCAACCCCCAGTTTGCTATTTTTAGTCTGCCATGGTCAGGAACCCAGAGAGCTGACCTCTCAAAACTAGATATACAGCACTGTTATCTCAACAGGCTTTGTGTGAGGGCCTCAAAATCTCTCCTATGGAGCCAAGTACATGAGTTTTTTTATTGCATGAGTTGTGACAGTTATTTTTGAAGTGCAAAGGCCACAAATGTTTATTTCTAAGTTCCCAGCTATGCAAGTTCACCTGACTTCCATCAGCATTTCCCAATGCAAACCGCTGGCACGCTGGATGAGACAAGTCTTTGTGCAGGACTGCCCTAAACACTGTAAAATATTTTTAAAGTCCCTGGACGTTAAATACCAGAAGCACCCTCCACACATTGTAACAAACAAAGAAACAAAATCTCCATGTATTTGTATATGCCAGGATGAGCCAAGAAGATGGCCAAAGAGGACTCCCAGATCCATAATCTGGCATGCCCACATTCTATACCTAAGTTGTCTTAGTCCCTCATATTGATTCCCCCTTGGGATTCCAAGGAACCAGTCTGGACAAATACATCTCTTCTGCCCATAAACAGGTCAAACTTAATAAAATAAAAGTACCAGTAGAGGGGCAACAAAATCCCTAAACCTCTTCACCAATCTGCCTGCCTCAGTTTCACTATTCTAAGAATTCTGTCTCAAGGTAAAGGCCAACTCGATGGAGTCGGGATACATAAATGAAAGTAGGCAGATCCTGAAATGCACTGCAAACTTGACTGAAAAGCCCTTATCAAAATAGGAGCCCCTCTAAAAGAAGATCCCCTGAAACTGTACAGGAAAAAAACAATTAGACCTTTCCTGACGTCTTCTTAGCAGGCAAGTATTCACATACATATGTTTCTTTATTTAAAAGTCCCTGGACATTAAATGCCAGCAGGACGGGTAACTTCACTTTTCAACAAGCACCTCTTCTCCTCTCCACTCCCCTACCTCTGATGGCAAAGCATTCAAGCTCCTCCATGGAATGCTTTAGCCACTCAGTTAACTCTAAGATAGATACTAACTATTCTCAACTCCATACATGACTGAGAGTGTCAAAGACAAACTAAACATCACAATTTTCTGTGCAAGTTCTCCACTCCCTCAGTGTGAAGAACAAAAGACATGTATAAGAGTTTCTTGTCCCATATTTTTATACATAAGCAAGCACCCACCAGCTGAAGAAATAAAGCAGAATATCTGTATTACCCACATCATTCACTTTTGGGCCAATTTATGAAATGTTCCATACTCTTTCCTGAGGTTTCGTGTAATAAGGGAGAGAGTTACGGAGCCAAGTTGCCCAACTAGCTAGCTGTGTTACCTTGGGAAAGTTACTTAACTGATCTCTATCTCTATCTTGGTTACCTCATAGATAAAATGAAGATGACCAGAGATGACCACAGTACCTATGTTTTCAAGTTGCCATACGGATTAGATGAGTTAGTAACACAAAGCCATTAGCACCACAACAGTCAAAAACAAGCCAATGTAACTTTATGAACAGCAAATACCACAGAATGTTGCCGCTATCATTGCAGTTTCTCCTTTCTCTCCATCCACCTCACAAATTCCTTAGAAAAAGGAATATATTATAGAAGACTTAGGTTTGTTTTGTGTTTTCCACAGCAAGGAAAATAATTAACTTCAAGAACATTTACTGAGTGCCAACTATACTAGTAGCAATGTATTAGGAATGGGAAACATAAAGATGAGTAAGACATAATCCTCAAGATATTTAAAACCAGAGGAAGACACATTAATAGGTTTGGGGATTTGGTTGCCTGCTAATCATGAAACAAATACTTATGATGCAGTACTAAAATCAGGTGAGAATGAACTAGGAGCACAGAAGAAAGAACAAACTGCTGAGACTGAGATTGTGAAATCCTTGAAGGATGAACAAGTTACTCAGTAAAGGGGAAGAAGGACATTTATAGGCAAGGGAAAGAGTATATGCATAGACACATTGCTGAAAAAGTTCATGGCAAGTTGTAGTAAATGGGTACCATCCAGTGTAACTGCAGCACTTACAAAATGAGGAGAATGTAGACTGCAGCCATACTACAATGGGACTTGTACGCAATGTTAAGGATTTCTAACTTTTCTCCATAGGGCAATGGACAGTCACTGATGGCTTTGAACACTGTAAAAAATATAATACATCTTTGTTTCAGGAAAAAAAATTTAGAAAGTAATTTACATAGTATTATGAAGCAGTAGAAAGCAAGAAGACTATAGGCAGGGAAACCAGCTTGAAGGTAACTATTGTCATCTAAAAAAGAGGTACTAAAGATTTGACCTAGAATTGTGAGAACTTGGATTTGAAAGACACTTCAAAGGGGAAAGGCACAGTTTTGAGGCTGGCTCTTGGCCAAGAAAAACAAGATGACAGAGTAAGAGTCTTGGTTCTCAATGGATGGTGATACATGGCACTGCACAGAGCAGTTAGTGGGTGCTCCATAAATATGAGATGGAATCAAATTTTTATAACCTGATAAAGAAATTAACTAAATTAACTTGGATTGGGCCAGGTAGAGAATTACAAAGCATCCACATGTCCAAAACAACCATATCCTTAAAATAAAAGTGAAAGAGAAACAAAATTAAGTGAAAGATTAAATACCAGTTGATAGAAAATACCACAGAATTATTTTTAAGCGGAAAAATAAAACCAAGACATCAGAATTTTTCCCTAAAGTATATTTTTAGAACTTTAGTCCCAAAATATATACCATAATAAAACAGATCCAAGGTCAAACACATTTGGAAAATGTTACCTGCCATAATCACCCTCGAATACATACCACAAACACTAGCATATAAAATACTCTGAAAAGTTCCATAATTTAAAACATTTAACTTTATTGAAGACAGAGTTTCTCAAACTTCTGACCATGAAACATTACCAAATCTTCCACAGAACCAGTGTCTCTAAGAACATATTGGAGAACACTATGCTTTGCAAAAAGTTCTCCAAATAATCAGACTTTCAATTAAATCAGAAGGAAGATTACAAGGCATGGAAACACACAAATACAAACCTTCAGGTGAAGTTTTTGAAGAATCCGAGTGAGCAACCGTGGAAATCTTCCTGTATCTATTGCATTTATCAGTGACACTGCTTTCTTCATGCTAAACAAAATTATAAAACAGAGTTTTGAAATGAGTTTTCCAAGTTGAACTGCACTTTCTATAGTTGTCTATAAGTTTTCATTCCAACAACTCTGAATGCTATATGGTAAATCTGAGTGAAATAAAAACAGATGACAGCCAGCAAAAAAGGCAGGGCAACGGGTACATTTCCAAAAAGATGCCCCCAAAATTACTTCTGCTGAAAAGGTCCATTTGGCAAATTTTCTCTTTCTTTTGGGCAAACCAAACTACTAGGGAAACCTTGTACTGCGCAGGGAAGAGCCTTAATTTAGTAGAGCGTTTATATAAACACTTAACCCAAAAATGGAACTCTGAAAGGGGTGGGAGGAGAGGAATAGCAATTATGGCAATTACACCAAAAACATAAAAGAATACTGCAAGGCAAATAACTTTTCAAATACTATGTACAAAATCATCTGGGGTCACTAAGCACACAGTTATTTTAAAACCCTGTTTCAACTGTAAAATCAAATTTATTATTACAACAGTAATCAATTTTGAGATAGGGTCTTACTCTGTCACCCAGGCTGGAGTGCAGTGGCACGATCTCAGCTCACTACAGCCTCTGCCTCCTGGGTTCTAAGAATCCTTGTGCCTCAGCCTCCCAAGTAGCTAGAACTACATGCGCGGGCCACAGCGCTGGCTAATTTTTGTATTTTTTGTAGAGACAGAGTTTTGCCCTGTTGCCCAGGCTGGTCTTGAACTCCTGAGCTCAATCAGTCCTGCAGTGGCTCACCCCTATAATCCCAGCACTTTGCAAGGCCAGGGAGGACAGATCACCCGAAGCCAGGAGTTCCAGACCAGCCTAGCCAACATGGTGAAACCCCATCTTTACTAAAAATACAAAAAATTAGCTGGGCGTGGTGGCGGGTGCCTGTAATCCCAGCTACTCAGGAGGCTCAGGGAGGAGAATCGCTTGAACACAGGAGGCGGAGGCTGCAGTGAGCCGAGATGGCGCCATTGCACTCCAGCCTGCGCAACAAGAGGGAAACGCCCTCTCAGGGAAAAAAAAGAGAGAGAGATTAGCCCGCCTCAGCCTCCCAAAGTGCTGGAATTACAGGCATGAGCCACAGCACCTTTCCTGTAATAATCAACTTTAAATGATGTGATGAGAACAATTCTATACTGCACCATATTGGATACAGTTTACTGATGTAGCGGTGTTCCCCAAGACACTGGTATGAGGAAAGAAACTGGCGATCAGAACCAAAGTGAGGCAGGAAAATAGGGTCAGGAGGCTGGGAACATAAAGCTGATTCCCACTTCAGCTATGACAAGAAATGTCCTCTCCATATGGCATAGGCGGAGAAAATGACTTTGTAACTTTACTTCATCCTCTTCATTTACATAGGGAGTACACCAAGTAACCAATGGAATCCTCTAGAGGGTATTTAAATTCCCAAAAATTCTGTAGGGGCCCTTCAGCCCCTATGCTCAAGCAGCTCCCACACTGTGGAGGGTAGTTTCATTTTCAATAAATGTCTTCTTCATTCTTTCCTCGCTTTCTTTGTGCGTCTTCTCCAGTTCTTTGTTCAAGACGCCAAGAACCTGGACACCCTCCACTGGTAACAAAAGGAATCCAGAAAGAAGGAAAAACTTTAAAATAACTCTTTTCTTCTGAAAGATTTCTACCCAATCCAAGCACAAAGAAATTACTTCCGAACACTATTTTGCCTATATACTTCAGTACTTTTTCTGTATCCACACGCTACCTGCACTATTGCTTATTTTTTCACAAATTGAGTCTTTTTTTACTTAAATAATGTTAAAGGGGAGCTTTATATCACTACCATGGACAACCAACTTTATCTACCATAAGTAGAAATTAACTAAAAATCTGTTTAAAATGCAAATAAAAGCAAATGCTACCAAAGCCAGGCTAGATTCTTCTACCAACCAAAAATTCGGTCCCCTATTCGATACTGATTTAAAAGGGGTATTAACACATGTTGGCTATTAAAGACCCTCCAGCAGCAGCGTGAGCCTTTCCCACCAGAGTGTCTGAACCGGAACTGAAATCGGAAACGGAATACCGTTCCACGTGATTCGGCAGCACTGAAGGCAGCACCCGGGAACTTCTGATACCAAACTCCGCGAACAGTGACGCAGACCCCACGCTTGCAGACCACACGCTTCCGTACAGACCTCAGCTGCCAGGCGCACTGTGAGCCCCACAGGTGGACCACCGTGACTGTAGAGGCGCTACACGGCCCCACGCACTCCGCAGACGCAGCGTCGCAACCTCGGCAGCCCACCCCACCCCACCCCACTCAACCGGGCCCGCCGCGGCGCCCAGGCGGCAGGCAGCAAGGACAGCCTTGTGCGAGCCCGATCTGGGCCTTCCTGGGCGCGGCTACCGCAAGAGCTTAACGGATCAGCTACCTGGGGCTCTCCCGTAGGATCAGCGCCGCGGGGACCGCCATCTTCGGCTTTCTCGCACTGCCGCCGTCTGTTAGCTGCGCCGAACCCAGCCAATGGCGGCCGCGGCGGACGGAAAGCCGGAAGGCCCAAGCCGCGCAGGGGCCGTTTTAGGGCTCCGGGTCTCCTGCGACCCGGGCGCCGGGAGACTTGTCCCGCAGTCCTGGAGGGCGGAGAGGGCAGCCCAGTTGCCCTCCCGACACTCCAATCGTGTTGGAGTTAAGTCTGTGCATATATATGTCTTTATATTTATATATTATATATGTATGTACATACCTGGATAGGGGTGTGTGTCTGTATTTAATAGGGCAGGTTTAAGCAAGTCTATGTACAGACCTGTATAGATATATGTGTGTATGTTCGTGCATAAATATATACATTATTATTTTTAATAGGGCAGGTTTAAGCAAGCCCGTGTATACATACTTGGATAAATGGTGTGTGCGTGTGTATATTTTTTTAATAGGGCGGGTTTAAGTGAGCCTGTGTGTACATACTTGGATAGGTGATTTGTGAGTATTTTTTTTTCCAGCGTTTGGGCTACAGAGAGGCAGGCATTTGAGCGAGCTCCCCCGAGCCTGCCCAGGAAGCGGCGCATCACCCCTCAGGAGAGGTGGTGCCTCCAGTTCCACCCTAAGCACTGTGCCGTCAACCCCTCCTGTATCTGCATCTGCAGGGCTTGTAGTATGTACGTTCAATTCCTTCAGCAACGTTCAATGAATGAGTGCCTACTGTGTACCAAGCACTGTTCTAGGCACTGGAGATACAAAAGGCCAAAATTCCTGCCCTCAGGGTTTGCCGGCAGTCTAAATGGACAAGTATTTGTTGCACCCTTCTTTAGAGTCTGACAGTGCAGAGTAGGGGAGATGAATCGCTGCAGTGAGTGATGTCAAAGACCTCACCCAAGACTAGGGAGACACCATGTTTGCATAAATACCTTGGTCTGCCTTTGAGAAAAACATGGAGTGAGTTAAAGGAATTCAGATGTGGGAGCAGTGAAAGGCATCCGAGGTAAGATCAGGAAAAGCTCCCTAGGGCAGGTGGCAAATGCGGTGGGTCTGCAGAGATGTGGAGGGTGAGGCTGTGTGTTTCAGGTCAGTAGAGTAGAAGGGCGGTTTGACGTTTGAAGAACAGGAATTTAGACTAGAAAAAGCCTTTAATGACTGGTTGTGGCATGTGCACTTAATCTGGTGAGAAATGGGTAAGCATTAAATGTTTTTTCTATCCATTAAATGTTTTGAACCAAAGAAATTTTGCAGTGGGAGTTGGATTTTTGAAGGTTGCTGTCAGCAGAATGATGATTGAAATGGAAAGAGGTAAGCAGGAGAGCTACCTGGAAACTACTGCAATAATCTATAGAAAGCAGTAAAATCCTGTGGTACTAAAAAGGCATTGGTGAATTAAAAGATAGTGGATGGATTAGTTACGTTTCAGCAGTAGAATATTCAAGAGCTGCCAAAAAATTGAATTTAATTTTCCTTCCTAATTATGTTTTACTTAAATTATTATTTAAATTAGTTGGAGTTCCTGGAGCAGCCCAAGAACAACCTAACTGAAAGGAGAAACCAGATTGCACATTAAATCTGAATAATCTCCACATGGATAATTGAGTCAATTATACAGTGTGTTGAACACATACAAATACATTTAGTTCCACAACACTCTACAGTCCCCAATGTATGCATATCTGAAAAAGATGTATGTGAATCTACATAAATTATAGGTCTCTGATCCAAACACAGATGACCTCATCTGCAACTTAAAAGGGTCCCAGTTCCCTCATTCTTTGAATCATTTCCCTTTTGTCTTGATTCCTTACCTGAAGTAGAACCACTAACCAACTAAAACTGTTTCAAATCCCTAATGAAGTTCACCCTCTGATTGCCTTAAAAATATATAGCCAGAATTTTGAGCAAAAGAGCATCAAGATGGCTCAAATCCCAAATCCATGTAACCTTGGACAAAGTACTTAACCTCAACAAGTTTCTCATTCCCAATCTGTAATGGGGATGAGAATAATGTCTGCTCCCTTGGATCTTAATGAGATTTAAATAATGTGGTACGTATGTAAAAGAAACATTCTACCCTCCTTAGAAAACAAAACCCAGACCTCTTAGGTGTTCACAAAAGCAAGTCTCCAGTGGACACAGAGGCGACTCACTCTAATGCTCTTCATTTTCAATGATGGGCTGATTACTTCTTATTACCATGTTTCTATAAAGGCGTGATGCTGTGAATAGTTTCACACCTCAAATGAGAACCTCACCCAAGATATTTCTGCATTCTCTGGAATATAGACATCTATGTCCATGAAAAGTCCTTTTAGTTGTCTGCTATTATTGTGTGGGAGTCTTAAGTCTCTTCGTAGGTCTCTAAGAACTTGCTTTAGAATCTGGGTGCTCCTATATTGGGTGCATATATATTTAGGATAGTTAGCTCTTCTTGTTGCATTGATCCCTTTACCATTATGTAATGCCCTTCTTTGTCTTTTTTGATCTTTGTTGGTTTAAAGTCTGTTTTGCTAGAAACTAGGATTGCAACCCCGGCTTCTTTTTGCTTCCCATTTGCTTGGTAAATATTTCTCCATCCCTTTATTTTGAGCCTATGTGTTTCTTTGCACACAAGATGGGTCTCCTGAATACAGCACACCAATGGGTCTTGATTCTTTATCCAATTTGCCAGTCTGTGTATTTTAATTGGCGCATTTAGCCCATTTACGTTTAAGGTTAATATTATGTGTGAATTTGATCCTGTCATATGATACTAGCTGGCTATTTTGCCCATTAGTTGATGTAGTTTCTTCATAGTGTCAATGGTCTTTACATTTTGGTCTGTTTTTGCAATGGCTGGTACTGATTTTTCCTTTCCATATTTAGTGCTTCCTTCAGGAGCTCTTGTAAGGCAGGCTGGTGGTGACAAAATCCCTCAGCATTTGTTTGTCTGTAAAGGATTTTATTTCTCCTTCGCTTATGAAGCTTAGTGTGGCTAGATAAGAAATTCTGGGTTGAAAATTCGTTTCTTTAAGAATGTTGAATATTGGCCCCCACTCTCTTCTGGTTTGTAGGGTTTCTGCAGAGAGATCCGCTGTTAGTCTGATGGGCTTCCCTTTGTGGGTAACCTGACCTTTCTCTCTGGCTGCCCTTAACATTTTTTCCTTCATTTCCACGTTGGTGAATCTGACGATTATGTGTCTTGGGGTTGTTCTTCTCGAGGAGTATCTTTGAGGTGTTCTCTGTATTTCCTGAATTTGAATGTTGGCCTGCCTTGCTAGGTTGGGGAAGTTCTCCTGGATAATATCCTGAAGAGTGTTTTCCAGCTTGGTTACATTCTCCCCATCACTTTCAGGTACACCAATCAAGCATACGTTTGGTCTTTTCACATAGTCCTACATTTCTTGGAGGCTTTTTTCGTTCCTTTTCATTCTTTTTTCTCTAATCTTGTCTTCATGCTTTATTTCATTAAGTTGATCTCCAATCTCTGATATCCTTTCTCCTGCTTGATTGATTCAGCTATTGATACTTGTGTATGCTTCACAAAGTTCTCATGCTGTGTTTTTCAGCTCCATCAGGTCATTTATGTTCTTCTATAAACTGGTTATTCTAGTTGGCAGTTCCTGTAACCTTTTATCAAGGTTCTTAGCTTCCTTGCATTGGGTAGAACATGCTCCTTTAGCTCAGAGGAGTTTGTTATTACCCACCTTCTGAAGCCTACTTCTGTCAATTCATCAAACTCATTCTCCATCCAGTTTTGTTCCCTTGCTGGTGAGGAGTTGTGATCCTTCGGATGAGAAGACGCATTCTGGTTTTTGGAACTTTCAGCCTTTTTGCGCTGGTTTTTTCTTATCTTCGTGGATTTATCTACCTTTGGTCTTTGATGTTGGTGACCTTCTGATGGGATTTTTATGTGGGTGTCCTTTTTGTTGATGTTGATGCTATTGTTTTTTGTTTGTTAGTTTTCCTTCTAACAGTCAGGCCCCTCTTCTGCAGGTCTGCTGGAGTTTTCTGTAGGTCCACTCCAGATGCTGTTTGCCTGGGTATCACCAGCAGAGGCTGCATAACAGCAAAGATTGCTGCCTGCCCCTTCCTCTGGAAGCTTTGTCCCAGAGGGTACCCACCAGATGCCAGCTGGAGCTCTCCTGTATGAGGTGTCTGTCCACCGCTGCTGGGAGGTGTCTCCCAGTCAGGAGGCATGGGGGTCAGGGACCCACTTGAGGAGGCAGTCTGTCCCTTAGCAGAGCTCAAGTGCTGTGCTGGGAGATCCGCTTCTCTCTTCAGAGCCAGCAGGCAGGAATGTTTAAGTCAGCTGAAACTGCACCCACAGCCACCCCTCCCCCAGGTGCTCTGTCCCAGGTAGATGGGGGTTTTATCTATAAGCCCCTGACTGGGGCTGCTGCCTTTCTTTTGGAGATGCCCTGCCCAGGAAGGAGGAATCTAGAGAGGCTGTCTGGCTACAGTGGCTTTGCCGAGCTGCAGTGGGTTTGCACCCAGTTGGAACTTCCCAGCGGCTTTGTTTACAATGAGGGGAAAACCGCCTGCTCAAGCCTCAGTAATGGCAGACGCCCCTCCGCCCACCAAGCTCAAGCGTCCCAGGTTGACTTCAGACTGCTATGCTGGTAGTGAGAATTTCAAGCCAGTGCATCTTAGCTTGCTGGGCTCCATGGGGGTGGGATCCACTGAGCTAGACCACTTGGCTCCATGGCTTCAGCCCCCTTTCCACGGGAGTAAACAGTTCTGTCTCGCTGGCATTCCAGGCACCACTGGAGTCAAACAAAACTCCTGCAGCTAGCACGGTCCAAACGGCCTCCCAGTTTTGTGCTTGAAACCCAGGGCCCTGGTGGTGTAGGCACCTGAGGGAATCTCCTAGTCTGCGGGTTGTGAAGACCCTGGGAAAAGCGTAGTATCTGGGCCGGATGGCACCTTCCCTCAAGGCTTCACTTGGCTAGGGAAGGGAGTTCCCTGACCCCTTGCACTTCCCGGGTGAGACAATGTCCCACCCTGCTTCTGCTCACCTTCTGTGGGCTGCACCCACTGTCTATCCAGTCCCAATGAGATGAACCGGGTACCTCAGTTGGAAGTGCAGAAACCACCCGCTTTCTGCGTTGGTCTGGCTGGGAGCTGCATGCTGGAGCTGTTCTTATTCGGCCATCTTGCCAGCCAAGTAAAATATCCATTGCAAACTTTTATGAAGTCCACTTTTTATTACATTCTGTATTAGCCTGACTTTTCTAGAAAACAAGCCTAGTTATTATACATCCTTCATCAGGAACTATAATTGCAAGGGAGTAGGAATGCAGGCAAAAGGGAAACTAAGGAAAGGTAAGGAGAAAGCAAATACAGGGTGGCATGTTATCGAACTGGTTACAGCTTCAAAACCTAGCTTATTTCTCAGTACTCTGGGATATTTCCAGAGAGGCTATTCAGAATCACTGTGTCTTGGAACAACATGGCGTGGGAGTGGAAGAAAGAAATTGTCTGTGAACTCTTTCCAATTTTTTCTTTCTTCATCAAAATTTGTCCTATAACTCATGCTCCTGCATTTCTAGGATATGTCACCTGGTGCCTCTAGGCAGCCCCACTGGAAAATTCAGAGCTTCCCTGGTTCCAATAGAATAGGAACTGAGTCCTGAAGCTATAGCAGAAGAGGAACCCATGGTTCAGTCCCTGCCCATAGCCCCTTCCTTATCCCCCTCCCTCTGCCCTGCCAAGGGTGGCAGTGAGTGACAGGAGCTTTAAACCATGGCAACTGTCAGAGTTTCCAGGGGCCATTTTGTCAGGAAAGTAGAGCAACATGCTGAAGCCTTGGAAACAAGTGGGGCTGAACTTACCTGGGGAGGGGCATAACTTGGAGACAGTTCTAGCCTTTAGTGGAGTCTCAAAACAAGAGGTGCTTAGGCCCTAACTGCTTCAGTCTTTACTGTGCAGCTTTTTCAATTCACATTCACCTAGTTTGCCCAGAGTACATCATGGCACAACTTGGAGTAAGTTCTGGTGTCAGCCCTCCCTGTATCCTGGAAGCTAAAACTTCCCTCTGAGTGTGAGCTTTGTCCTGTTTGGAAGGGCTCCTTAGTGGCCTCTACCTACAGCGCCACTGTACACTCGCCCTCCCCCCATCAGGCGTGATTTATATTTTTGACACCCAGTGATGTAAAGCCAAGATCTGGGGTGTTTTTCTCCCAGAAGTCTTCCCCCAACCCTAAAGGAACTCTGAAGACACCAGGGATCCTCACCCAAATCTATCCTTCGACATTCCAGTCCCAAATGCAAATGATTATCTTTGGAGGAAGAGTAACACCTACTCACCCACCAGAATAGTGTCCCCAGAAACCTAGTCCAGCTGAAATGATCTTTTAAGTAATTTTTTGATATATATTCTCAAATAGGGGGATGCAGGCATTTTATTATGTACCTCAGATTGTTCTGGCAAAGGGTTGCCCAACTATGTGACCCAGTTCCTTAACATTTTGAAAGTCTGAAGTCCTACAACTTATCCTGAGTTCATCAAATGCATCTAGCAAAGAGACGTATAAAGGCAGGAGACTCAAACTATCTGCTACCCATGTCTGACTGCCAGACTGACTATAAAACACAAACTTCATATTGAACAGCTTTGTCACGTTCACCTGCAGACGCTGTTGCCCCAGTTTTCCTCTTTCCCACCCCGCACTGCACACGCTCTTCTCCCTCTCCTTACCATCACACACATGCAGTTTCTAGCCCTGTTTTTAGCTCTGCAGTCAGCACTTGCCTCATAGGTGTGAGAGAATCAATTGAAGTGGAACTGAAGAACAGCCTTCTAGATAGTAAACATGTAATTGTTCATTTCACATTGCCTCCCCAGAGTCCTAGGGGGATAAAGTTTTAAAATTACATATTTTTATTTATGAGTTACTTATGTGAATATTCCTGTTTAATGTGATACACATAGGGAATAAAGAATGCTTGAACACAATCTATTCTCTGAATATTTGCACAACAGGCTGTACTGTAGAAAGAAGCAAGAAATGGCCGGGCGCAGTGGCTCACGCCTGTAATCTCAGCACTTTGGGAGACCGAGGAGGGCAGATCACGAGGTCAAGAGATTGAGACCATCCTGGCCAACATGGTGAAACCCTGTCTCTACTAAAAATACAAAAATTAGCTGGGTATGGTGGTGCGCACCTGTAGTCCCAGCTACTCAGGAGGCTGAGACAGGAGAATCACTTGAATCCGGGAGGTGGAGGTTGCAGTGAGCCGAGATCGTGCCACTGCACTCCAGCCTGGTGCCAGAGTGAGACTGTGTCTCAAAAAAAAAAAAAAAAACAGAAGCAAGAAACAGAGAATAGTATCCAGGGTGTAGGCCACATTTTCCCATAAAAAACAATATTTATGTTCACCCACCCTTAAACAAATGGAGGGTGGGGAAGAGGATGAGAGGGAAATATTTATTAAAATGTAGCAAAAATACACTTTATAATATATGAACAGATCCCCTCCTAATGTATTCTCAAACTTAAAAGTTGAAGACCATCTCAAATTATCACTCGTCCATTTTCATTTGCACCTAGTTTTTCCCGTCCTGCCTCCCAGAGGTCTGTGCCATTAACAGGACCGATATTTACACATAGGATGTGTGAAAGACAGAGTGCTTTCTTCAGTAATTTTCACCTGTGAACACCATTTGAAAAGAATCGGTGGACATGTCAGAGTGAGGCAAGATTACAGACTCCCTTTTACGCCACAGCTAGTAAAAAAAACTAAAAAAAGTAAACATCATAAATAGACAACAGGAAAAAGAAATCAACTTATTAACAGCAAACAAACAAACAAGCATAAGTTAATACTACACTTGAAAAATGATCTGACGAGAAAAGAAACCGAACTTCTGCCTTAGCTAAGCTGGATCCTAAAGGTGGTCCCCAACTTGCTGAAACTGTGCTAGGAAAAGAAGGTTTCCACAAAACCATGAGCGTTCTCTTTATATCCCCAAACTTGGAGAGGAGCAGAATTGGAGGTATATAGTCAGCCAAGAAGAAATCATGAAAAATACCTGGAGAATATAAATGCCTGAGGCTGATGCAGGACTAGCGGAGTCCAGAGGAAGCTCCGGAGGTCACTCTTTTGATGTATCTGAGTGAGGGAAAAAGTAGAGCAAAAAGGCAGAAAAACAAAATACATCTAATTATCTCAAATGATGAATAGGAAGCTATGAAAGTTGAAGATAAAAGAGAAAATAAAAAATAAGACACCCACACAAAAAGCCAGTGGAAAAGATGATTACATTGAAGCTACAGTGAAAATAGCCTTCCCTCACCCTGCCTGCCTTAATGTTAACACTGGCTGAAACCCACAGGCACTCTGATTCTTTCTCTATACTAAGTGGAAATGAAAGAATGAAATGGGGAAGTAAAAACCAGGGCTGACTCAGGAAGAATCAGAGGTTCCGGGACTCTACCATTAAAGGAGGACTGATCTGAAGCCTGGGGGATACCCCCTCAGCTACTGGACATGCCCATACCAGTCAAGTGAATCTTGATACAAGACAGTTGACAAAATCTCAGAACTAAGAAAGTAAAAACTAAAGCCACTAATAAATGCTACCCTCAACCCTAAGCTTTTATTAAAAAGTAGAATGGAATATTGAGTCATCAAGCTAGCATAGATGGAAAGACAAATCAATCTCACATTAAAAAGAACCAAGAAGACATACCAGAGAAAATAGAGGTCTGGGCAGAGCTGTTCATGCTAAACACAAGTAGGATAGGAAGAAATGCCATGACAGTTGTGTAATAATTTTACAGGAAAATACATAAAAGGTATAGAGTATGCAAAAAACAAAAATTCCACTTGAATCCTTCTTGAGATAGAACTTAAGAAGGAAATTAATTCAGTGAAACGAGCTAAAAGACAACTTGACAAAATATCAAAATTAGATGTAAAACACGGAAATCAAAGAAAGGATTAAAAACACCATTTCTTATGATGTAAATTAGAAACTGCAAGGAAAAGACTGCACACAATTTTAAATTGAATTATGGACAGGGCAGAGGGGCTATTCAGAGTGAATGCAAAGAATGAGACAAACACAAAGTAGATACTAATAACAAAAACCAACCTAAAGATTACTGTCTCCAAGGCAAAGAACCCAACAAATAGACACAAAAATACTTTCAAATATGATAATAAGGAGTCTGACTCCATTTTTGATGTTGGCTGACAGATTTCAAGCCCCACTACTCCCTCTTCCCCTTCTGCCCCACATCTGGGCAAAGTGTTAAGCCCAGCTGTTTCCTTCTCTGGCACTGATGAGAAATTCAAGCCACGTAAGCCCCTGACTGCAACAGGGAAACCTCATCCTGGCCCGACCCCCAACCACCATAAAGCCCCAGGCCAATTGGCCTTCCCTGCTGTCGTAAGCCATTTTTGGTTTTGCTTGAGAGTCTGCTCTGCTCTCCCCAGAAAACCTCATTATGTAAGTAATAAATCTTGTTACATACCTCCCTGCTGCATGAATGGCATCATCAGTCTAGACACCTGTGTCAGTCTGTTTTCACACTGCTGATAAAGACATACCCAAGACTGGGCAATTTACAAAAGAAGGAGGTTTAATGGACTCATAGTTCCACGTGGCTGGGGAGGCCTCACAATCATGGCAGAAGGCAAAAGTCATGTCTCATATGGCAGCAGACAAGAATGAGCCAAGTGAAAGTGGTTTCCCCTTATAAAACCAGCAGATCTCATGAGGCTTATTCACCACCACAAGAACAGTGTGGGGGAACCGCCCCCATGATTTAATTATCTCCCAGTGAGTCCCTCCCACAACATGAGGGAATTATGGGAGCTACAATTCAAGGTGAGACGTGGGTGGGGACACAGCCAAACCATATCAACACCTAACCAAACTTGGTGTACAAAGTCCATTTTGCCTCTGTAGGATGATCAAAACAAATATTTAATAGAAGACCATTTCTCTGTAATGTCAGAAAAACTGAATATACAGTCTAATGAAAGAGCAAATTATTTTTTGGAAAAACTGATAGAATATGATGATTATGGGACAGATTCTGGTAAAATTATCAAATTCCAAGGATAAAGAAAAATTTATTCAAGCGACATGGTGAAAAAAGCATGTCACTTACAAGAGTAAAATAATCAACAACTTTCAGACTTCTTCATAGCAATGTCTACAAAGGGTCGAGAAAAGCGAACATGCTATTCAATATTAAAGCAAAAGTCAGATCTTACTAAGCGTGGCTGCATTCATAGTTTTCATGGGCTCTTTTTGTTAAAACTAATAGTTGAGAACAAGCCAACCAAGAGATTAATGAAAATACAGAACTCAGTAGCAGAGATGCGGTGGCATGTAGTGAACATTAAATCCATATAAAACTAAAATTTAGTTAATTTATGAAATTAAGTAGAAATGTTATAATGTTTGATAATATAGAATCATCATATAGCTTAGACAACTGATTTTTAAATGGACAAAATTGGGTGGAATAAAGTTTTAAGAGTACTTATTTCTTTATCTTTCAAAGCAAATGCTATGAATCAAACATTCTCTTAAAGAAATACAACAGTGCCCCATAAATATCTATACCTACTATGTCCCAACAAAATTTAAAAAATTAAAATGAAATACATTATTTAAAAAATAAATTGATTATAACATCTTAAAATGTTTCCATAATCTTTTTTTTTTTTTTTGAGTTGGAGTCTCACTCTGTCACCCACTGCAAGCTCCGCCTCCTGGGTTCATGCCATTCTCCTGCCTCAGCCTCCTGAGTAGCTGGGACTACAGGTGCCTGCCACCACGCCTGGCTAATTTTTTGTATTTTTAGTAGAGATGTGGTTTCACTATGTTATCCAGGATGGTCTCAATCTCCTGACCTCTTGATCTGCCCGCCTCAGCCTCCCAAAGTGCTGGGATTACAGGCATGAGCCACCATGCCAGGCCCCAAATGTTTCCATAATCTCTTTAAAACTTTGCAGAGGTGGCACTCTAGAGAACTCTAGTCTGAATATGGCTCATGGGCTATAGAAATACTGTGCTTGCTTATTTTGTTTAACCTACTCAGTGATGACATAGACAATGTAACCAGAGAGATTCTTATTTTGAAAACAATAGAAGCAACTTAATTTTTATAGTTTGCTGCATGAGTCATAAAGTCCCTATGCCTAAAGGCATTTAAGTTTGTGACCCCCATCTTAGAGGAATATTTTAGGGACAAACATCTCTTTGTTAAGGAAACAACTCTTTAATATACAGCAATTTCTATAGTTTTTTTTCTTCTCTTTTCCACTTTAATAAAATCATTTCTATATATCTGTATCACATATATTAGATATATAGCATATAGATTGAGATCTAGATATAAATATGCATACAGTGATTACTAAAATTAGGTTTGGTTAATGTCCACAATTATTTCAGGCTGGTGAGATTTTCTGTAAGTTTTTACCTTCTCTGTATTACTTGAACTTCCAATGATGAGAATTAATTATTTTTACCATCAGTTACTATTCAAAAGATCATGAAGACCAAGATAATTAGTTATGTGCCCAGGATATTTTATATTAGGTACTAACATATTTTACATGCCAAGAAAAATTCTTTGTGGGACCTAACATTAACATCATTCTTATGGTAATTTGTAAATAATATTAATTTATTATTATCAAAATATACTTAAGATTTTTGTGTGTTAAATGAAAGGTCTAAAGTAAATTATTAATATTATTGCATTTGGGAAAAAGGCAAATATATCTCTTCAGAGTAACTGCCTATTTTTTATTTACACAAGATTTTAAAAAGTTTTTTCTTTACAGTTTGCTTAGATTAGTAAATTAACAAGATGGGTACAGTTACTTTCCTTCAGGATCAGAGTCGGCGTGGCATTGCTAAAGACAAAGTGGTGCTTCTAACAAGCCAAAGAGCTCGAGAGGTTCCAATCTGCCCCTTAGAGCCATAGGTAAATACAGATTATTTGAATGACTCTACCCAGTCTCCTCATTGTTCCAGCATGCCATGCCCATTCTCAGTTGTGTCTAGTTTTGTAGTCTCTTCTTTGTAATATACTCTCCCCACAGTTCCTACATCTCCAGAAGGGAATATGTAGAGGTATTTGAGTTGTTCCAATGCCTTACAAATGTTACTGATACATAGCAGGAATCACAGTCTCACACAATGATGAATTATCCACCCAAGGTGCCAATAGCATCTGTGTGGAGAAACCAAACCTTCAAGACTTCAAGATCCAACTCAGTTCACACTTTCTAAAATGTACACCACCTACTCACCTTCTTCTCTGGACTTTGAGAGGGTTTCTTATATGAAGCAAACATTTTAGCAAGGAATTCTATATGATTGCCTTTCTTCATTAGCCAACTGTTGTAAAGGCATAGATCCATCCTTAGACTTCTTTAGAGACCTCATCATACCCAGTATCATATGGGTGCCTGGGATAGATAAAATAAAACTATTTCAAACCCTTTTACAGTGAAGATTTAAGCTCTTGGTTGGACAGCCAATTTAGTTAAATGGTATGTCTAAGGATGCAGAAATCTGTGAACACTACATTCAAAGAGAAATAGTGTTTCCCTAAACACATAACTTTATTTGATTCCTTGATTTATTCTACTTTGAAGTTAGTAAGTTTTATTGAGATCTTGAAAAATGAGTTGAAATACTGTATTTTCATAGCTGTCTTTCCAGAATTCAAGACGCTTCACAATACTTTCATGTTTCGACAAACTAATGGTAAAATACTGTGTTTCAAATGTGTGTATAAAATTTTTTTTGATTCCTTCATGACTTTTCCTTATTTTTGTATGGCAGAATTTGTTCATCAAGGTCAACTTGGTAAATATATAATTGTGGAACATTTGATTTGAGGTTTAACTTTAGTGTGAAAGCCTATTAACTCAATCACACCTAGTGCCCTAATCTTGGTTTCTAATATTCTCCAATAAAAAGAACCTGGACTTGTTGGAGAAATGGCTGATTCTAGGACTGGGGCAGTAAGTACAAAATGAGCCTGGGACACCTTGTAGTGCAGGGAGTAAGGAAGTGCTAAAAATTTAAAATAAAATTTTAAAACTCACAATGATTCAGATATGTTAAAGGACCATAGAACGCAACTGAAAAAAACTCCTAATAGCTTAAAACCAAATGATAAAATGAATATCCACAAGTCCATACTGATCTAAACAAATAATTTAATAAATTATTCCATTATTTAAATAATTGAATAATTATTGAGTAAATAGAAGGGAGAGAAGACAAAATTTCCTGCGTAAAATTACAAATAATTTATATAAATACCCATCCCTGAAGAGAGGGAAGCATAACTCTCTACTCCTTAATTATAGGCTACACATAGTGACTTCTTTCCAAAGAGTGCAGTTTGTAAGGGTGGTAGGGGTAGAGTCACTTTACAGTGAAGAATCCTGACAAACACCACCTCAACCAGATGATCAAGGCCAACATTATCAGTGATGAATCATGTTGCTAGTAAGTACTCTTGGTATGGTGTCATGAAAATGGCAATTGGTCTTTGTGTCTTCTTCCAGAAACCCATAACTCTGGTTTCATTATGAGAAAAATGTCAGACAAATTCCAAGGGGACATTCTACAAAATACTTGACTAGGACTCCTCAAAACTGTCAAGGTCATCAAAAACAAGAAAAGCCCAAGAAACTATCACAGTCCAGAAGAGCCTAAAGAGACACGATGACTAAATGTAATGTGGTATTTTCAGTGGGATCCTGGAACACAAAAAGGACACTGGGCAATAAGTAAGAAATATGGATAAAGCATGGACTTTGGTTAACAATAATTTCTTATTATTGGTTCCTTCATTTTAACAAATATGCCGTACTCATTTGTCAGTAATACGGGAAATTGGGTGTGGAGTATATGGCCACTTTTACAGTCTTCACAATTTTTCTGTTTCTAAAACAGTTGTAGAAGATAAAGTTTATTTATTTTAAACCTATTAACTATTTTCAACTTTTTGAATTATGAAAGGAGTACTACTGTCAAAATGACACTTACAAAACTTAGAAATATTATCACCGTTACACTTTCCATAGCAGCACAAATCCGTCACAGGCACCATTGTGAATGCTATGCGGTGCCACCCAAAGCCTCCCTTTGAGGGAAGGATGTATTCTCACAGCTGCAGTGAAGGGTGCTGACTGACACTGCTGAGCTGTCAGTCCTCTTCAGGAATTGCCTCACCTAAAGAGTACCACTTAGCCCAAGGCCACGTCCACTTCTCAGTGCAGTCTGTATCTGACTGGTAATATTTAACAACCAGATCTCTGAAGAGAGAAAAATGCCCTAATTTGTAGCATTTAACCAGTTTCTATAGTGTTGATATTTCTACTATAGCCCATATCAAGTACCAAAGTGTGATCAATGAATGGCCATTGGGGAAGAGATGCACACAATCACCTCCCAAGCTGGAATGAGTCAGTTCTAGCACACCACTGTGTCCTTTTGATATCAACTTGGAACAACACTGAAGAGCCATTTCCAATTCGCAGCTCCTGGGGGGCCAGCTGAGGGCTTATTGTGACTGCATTGCAGCCCAATCTCTCCCTCTACCCAACCCTGTTTCCCTTCTATCCCTTCTAAGCATTCAACTCAACAGCACTCAACTTCCTGCTTGTGAATCTCATCTCAGATTCTGCTTCCTGAGGAATCTAACGTGCAACAGGGATTTCTTGCTGGACAAACTAACCAAGAAGATTATTATTCAATGATTGCTTAAAGCACTTGAAGACAATTATGTTGGCGATGAGGATGCTGGTGGTGGTGGTCATAGGACAACAAAGGAAAGGAAAAGATTTTGTCTGACAGACTCTCAAATTCTATTTATACAAGGAGTCAGTATTTGAAAAAGTAAAAATGATAACCAAGATGATATGGTTGAGATGGGGCCTGACTATGTTGCCCAGGCTGATCTCAAACTCCTAAGCTCAGGGAGTCTGCCTGCCTAAGCCTCCCCAGTAGCTGGGATTACAGGCATGCACCTCCATGCCTGTTAATAATCAAATATTTTAATGTAAATAATTTATGCTACTATTTAGGAAACCTAGAGGACCTTTTGTAACCACACCTATTTTACTTTACTTTCATATGCGCTTAACATGTAATCCAGGTTGTCTCTTACCATTATCCAGCATGCATTTATTGAATATCTACCTTGTGCCAAGCTCTGTGCTAGGGATCTTGCGCTTAAAAAACACAATCCCTTCTCCTAAGCTTCTAAGGAACTTACACATCAGTATGAGGCCACAAAACAACAGTGAAGTGAAAAAGTGTCATGATTCATCTGAATACAGGGCACTGTGGATGCTCTGAATACGTAACGATAGCCATCATTTATCAAGTTATGTTTGCTGTGTACCCAGGATTGTTTCTGATGCTTTACAAGCATTATCTCATTAAATCTCACAGCAATCTCCTTTTAGATTCTTGCATATACCATCACAGTAAGTGATTACACCCTTACCTCTTTCACATTTGTCTTGTTGTTTTAACTAGTCTGACACCTGGCAGTTCAGCTCTCTCCCCCAGCTCAGCAAAGTTTCTGATGGTTGGTCCCTGCTTCATGATGTGTGGCTACCCAGCTCATAAAACTGGCCTGGTGCCTTTTCTTCCTGAGGCCAACCTTTTCTGCATTTTCTTAGATCTAGTGCCCCCCACCCCCCTTTTTTTTTGCTTAAATTAGCCAGAGCTGTTTGCAGTTGAAAGATCCCAGCTGACGTAAACAATAAGTGTATGATCACATGATCATTAAAAGCCAACAAAGATATAGAAAAGAGAGAGATGATAATGTTTCATACAGTGCTGTTCCTAAAGAACCCAGGGAAAAGGGATCCATCCCAATTGACTGTCCTTTAACAGGAGAGAAAGTTGTTTCACTGAAACTACAAGAGTGGAGGCAAAAAAGAGGTATGGATAGAGACTCTTAGTAGGATTGGGGGCAGGAGAAAAAATCAGAATGTCAAAGTTATGTATCGGATGGTCTCTATCATTTCCAAGAAAACAGCAATATTGAGAAGAGGATAAAGAAGTCGGGAGTTAAAAAGGCCAAACGTTTAAATAGCTGCTTTGGAGAATGGCCGAGGAATTGACTGGACTGAGGGAGGCATTGTTATGGCAATATGGAATGGCATCAGTCTCTATAACTGGGTACCTTCACCACAGACAGCTTGAGAAAGAGACATAGCAGGAGTCAGGCCTTTTATCTAAAACATTTTCTAAACTTCATTTATTGTGCTAAATGTATCCTTTTTTAAAGTTATAATGTTATAACAGTTATAATGTTAAAGTTTTTTGAAGTATAAATTTGAAAAATTAAATTGAAAAGTTTAAATAGTGCCAGGCATGGTGGCTCACACCTGTAATCCCAGGGCTTTGGAGGACTGAGGCAGGAGGATCATTTGAGGCCAGGCATTAGAGACCAGCCTGGGCAACATAGCACTCGAGCCCTGATCTTAAAAAGTTAAATACAATTAAAAGTTAACCGGGCGTGGTGGCTCTCACCTGTAGTCCCAGCTACTCAGGAGGCTAAAGCAGGAGGATCATCTGAGCCCAGGAATTTGAGGTTACAGTGAGCTATGATTGTGCACTCCAGCCTGGGCAACAAAGTGAGACCCTGACTTTTAAAAAAAGAAACAAAATCTTGAGAAAATCATCTTTTATTCCAAAGAAAAGATAAAAATCTCATGGTACCCAGCCTTAAATAATCTTTTTGAAAAAATTCCAAATCCATTTGAAAAAGTGGTCTTGATTTTGTTCTGTGTAAAACCTAAAGTGCATATAAATGGCCAGCAGAGGGAGCCAAAACCATTCATGTATTTCCTCTGTATATCGTTTTTAGGAAAATGTATGATTAAAAATTACAAAATGCAAATAACCCTCATCATTCAAGAATATATGCAAAAATCATAGAAATCATATATTTAGTGCTACTCTATGCCAAGTACTGTTTGGAAAATTCAAAGCTAGAATGGGATTCTAAATGTGAAGCAACTGAAAAAGCATTCCTTCCTCTCACTCTCTAGGACTTTTTTGGGATTCTGTTTTTGTTTTTTTCTTTTTTCTTTCTCTAGGACTTTTTGTAGTAACTCCTGAAAAGCAAAGTAATTTCTGTTCTATTGAAGTGGGAACAATTTATGAGTTGTATGGACACTTTTCAGTTCCTATTGCTGAGAACACAATTGTTAGCAGTGTGTCGAAAAGAAACGGGAGGGCCTTAGCTCACACCTCTTAAATCAGGCTCTAGGTATCTCTCAGAAAACAGAAGGAATAGATTTTTTGTGGAAATTTATTGAAAAGCAATTTGCCGCAACTACACTATACATGTCTCTCCATTTTCTGGACAATAAGTGTATTAGTTAGGGTGTTTTGTTTATGAGTAAGAGAATCCAACTCTGACCAACTCTGGCTAACTAAGGGGGAAAATAATTTACTGAAAGAATGCTGGTTAGTAATGTCCTTTAAATAATTTATAAATAAAATTTGAGGAAAATGGTTGATATTTAAAAATGACAATGTATATATTTTATATAACTATGTTCACAAATTTGAAAATTTATATAAAATAGATAACTTATAGAAAGATATATATGTAATATGTAATACATAAGAAAAATAGAAGAAAACAGAATATAACTGTTTTAAAAACAAATGTGTTATTGAAAACCTTCCTATTAAAAAAAAGAGAGAGAGAGAAAGAAAACAACAAAAAAAAATCCCTTCAGGTCCAACTGGCCTCACTGGCAAGTTCCAATAAACATGTGAGGATGAATAGTTTCACTTGAAACAAAGGCTTGTAGAGAAAAGAAAGTGGTCACCATCTCCTTTTATGTGGCGAGCATCACCTTGACATTAAAGCCCAACAAGGACTTCCATTTGCAGAAAAATGGAGTAGGGATGCTTTTTTGCTATTCTTCTCACTACATACAGTTACAAACTCTGGACTTTACGAATAAAACAAATATAAGATGACTCTGAAAGGCAGAGAGAAGGAGGCAGACTGGTTAGGGACCTGGGACATGAGGAAGGACAGAGCAGTAAGTACCCTGGGTTTCTTTTTACTTTCTTTTACTTCATACATCTTTGGGTGTATGAAGACTGGGTAACGGAGATGTCAGCAATCCAGAAATGCCAATGGGCACAGATGGAAAAAGCTCCCAAAACCTTGGTCTCTGTAGCCAAAGAACCAAGAAATAGGCAGCCCAGCAAGACAGAAGGGTTTTAAACAATAACCCGTCTACTCCACCAACAATCACAGAAGAAAACTGTGCCCTCACTCCCACCAGCAAAGGCTGAATAGGGAACCTGGACTTCCACCCTGGCCAGGCTGTAATGAGGTACCCCAACAACGGAACACATACTCACCAACACACATCATAACTCAACCTCTGAAAGCTGAAAAGCAAATTTTTTAAAGCATTACTTCTGGGAAAAAAAAAATTCAAAGGACAGGTTTCTCTTCAGAAACATTGGAAGCTAGAAGAAAGTAGCAAAAAATGTTTTAAATGAGATCCCCAAGATCAAGAACAAGGTAAGGCTGCTTGTTCTCACCACTGCTATGAGAGTAATGGGAGGTCTTGCCAGAGTAATAATGAAAGAAATGGACAGAAAATGCGTATACATTAGAAAGGAAGAAATAAAACTGTCCCTATTTGCAGATGACAAATTCCATCTACATAGAAAATTCCAAAAAAAATTACAAAGATTTTTTTTTAAATCTACGAACAGCCTTCTAAAACTAATAAGGGACTTCAACAAAGTTGTAGGATACAAGATCAACATACAAAAATATATTTTATTTCTACATGCTATCAATAAACACTGAAATTTAAAATATGATACCATTTAGAATTGTCCGGAAAAATGAGACACGTGATTGTAAATCTAACAAAATACATATAAGACTTGTAAGCCAAAAACTATGAAATGATAATGGAAAAAACCTATAATGGAATATGGATGGAATGATAATGGAATAAATATACAAAAAGACATGCCGTGTTCATGAACTGGAAGGGAGACTCTAAGGTAATAGAAATGTCAGTTCTTCTCAAATTGATACACAGATTTAACACATTCCTATTAAAATGCTAGCAAGATTTTTTTATGGATATAGACAAGATTAATCTAAAATGTATGTGGAAAAGTAAATGAACTGTAGTAGTTAAAACGATGTTTAAAAGAAAAACAAAATGGGGAGAATTATTTTACCTAATTTTAAAATTTGCAGTTGGCCATTGAACAACAGATTTGAACTGTCTGGGTCCACATATACACAGATTTTCTTCTGCTTCAGCCGTCCCTGAGACAGCAAAACCAACCCCTTCTCTCCATCCTCCTTCTCAGCCTACTCAATGTGAAGATGACAAGGATGAAGATCTTTATGATGATCCACTTCCACTTAATGAATAGTAAATATATTTCCCCTTCATGAAGATTTTCTTAACATTTTCTTTTCTTTAGCTTACTTTATTGTAAGAATACACTCTGTAAATATATAACATACAAAATATGCATTGGTACCCCTAACCTGTGCACTGTTCAACGGCCAACTGTATTATATATCTGCCATCACAAAGACTATGTGGTATTGTCAGATGAATAGATGCATAGATCAATGTAACAGCCTAGAGAACCCAGAAATAGCCCAGCACAAGTATGGCCACCTGACTTTTTACAACAGTGCAAAAGCAATTCAGTGGAGGAAGGATAGTCTTTTCAACAAATGGTGCTGAAAAACAGTTGGATATCCATAGGCAAAAAGGAACCTCGACCTAAACCTCACATCTCACATGTCATACAAAAATTAACTCAAGGCCAGGCGCGGTGGCTCACGCCTGTAATCCCAGCACTTTGGGAGGCCGAGGCGAGCGGATTACAAGGTCAGAAGATCGAGACCATCCTGGCTAACACCGTGAAACCCCATCTCTACTAAAAATACAAAAAATTAGCCGGGCGTGGTGGCAGGCGCCTGTAGTCCCAGCTACTCGGGAGGCTGAGGCAGGAGAATGGCGTGAACCCAGGAGGCGGAGCTTGCAGTGAGCCGAGATCACGCCACTGCACTCCAGCCTGGGCGACAAAGCGAGGCTCTGTCAAAAAAAAAAAAAAAAAATTTAACCTAAAATGGATCATATAAAACCTTTAGAAGATAATATAGGAGAAAGTCTTTGGTAAAAAGTGCTTGGATAAGAGTTCTTAGACATAACACCAAAAGCACAATCTGTAAAAGACAAAAATTTATAAATCAAAATTCATTAGAATTAAAACTATTGCTCTGTGAAAGGCCTTATTAGAAGGATGAAAACAAGCTGTAGAGAGAAAAATATTTGCAAACACGTATCTGACAAAGAACTTGTAGCTAGAATATATAAAAAATTCTCAGAACACAGTATTAAAAAATAAAATAATCTGGTTAGAAAATGGGCAAAAGATATGAAGAAACATTTCATTAGGATTACATACAGATAGCAAATAAACACATGAAAATATCAGCCATTAGGGAAATGCAAATTAAGACCACAATGAGATATCACGACTTACCTATCCAAATGGTTAAAATAAAAAATAGTAACACTACTAATTGCTGGTGAGGATTAGACAAAGTGGATCCCTCATACATTGCTGGTGGGAATGCAAAAGGGTACAGCCACTCTGGAAAACATTTTGGCAGTTTCCTACAAAACTAAACTTACAACATATGAACCAGCAATCGCACACATGAGCATTCCTCAGCCCTGGTCCTTTTCCAGTATTCCCTGTTCCAGTGTTCAGTGATTGGCCATACCATCTGTTTGACGATGGAAACCAAGAAAGTGGGAGACTCCTGTGGCTTCTGTCTTCCTCACCCCACATATCTCTTCTATCACAAAGTCCTTTTGTTTGTTTTCCTCACTGCAGCCAGTGTGGTCTTTTAAAAATGCAAGTATGATTGTGTCATCCACTGCCACCCCACTGGCTTCAAGCACTTCAATGGTTTCCTGTTGTGTTTTGGACATGTAACAAATTTTTTTTTTTTTTTTTTTTAATACAGGGTGTCGCTCTGTTGCCCAGGCTGGAGTGCAGTGGCACAAACATGGCTCACTGCAGCCTTGGACCTCCTGGGCTCAAGCGATCTTCCCAACTCAGCCCCCTGAGTACCTGGGACTGCAGGCAGGTACCACCAGGCCCAGTAATTTTTTTAGTTTTATTTTTAGTAGAGACAAGGTCTTGCTATGTTGCCCAGAATGGTCTCAAAATTCTGGGCTCAAGTGATCCTCCCACCTTGGCCTCCCAAAGTGCTGGGATTACAGGTGTGAGCCACCGCGCTTGGCTTCAACTTCCTCAAGGTACCTAAAAGGCCTCCCATGATATGAGTACTCTCTGCTCTGCAGAGGCTTCTCATGCTTTCCCCTCCACCCATCCAGGCTTCTTCTAGTGTCTGGAACATGCTGTACCCTTTCCTGCCACAGACCCTTCAGCATGCTCTTTACTCTGCCAAAAACATTCTCCCCCACGCCCATCTTCTTCTCTGCTATTTTTTTTCTCACTTTTCAAGCCCCAGAACTGTGATCGCTCCTTTAGGTAAGACTTCTGTGACCACCCAGACTATGTAAAGATGTCCTTAATAACTCCTCTCACCCATTACTCTTTTCACACTCATTTGTGTCATGATATTATTATTCTATCTCTCTCTCCCCCCATGACTATTCTGTAAAGTCCGTAAGAGTAGAGACCACGTTTGAGTGTTTTTTCCCTTACCCATTGTATCCTTAGCACCTAGTAAAGTGTCTGGCATATAAGAGGTGCTTGGTAAATGAATGAATAAATGAATAATGGGTCACTAAGTAGTGTATCTATTAAGTGCACTATGTTATTGAATGCACTACTGAAGGAAAAACAGTTAAACTCAGTCACTGATCTCGCTGAATTTATTGTATCTGACCTAAGCTTTGGCCAACTTAAAAAGAATATACAAACAACCATACAATAGTGAGGAAAAAATAAACTGTTAAAACTACAGATTATAAACACAAAAGAAACATTTTTCAAATTGCATATGCGTCTTAAGTAATACATTGTTTATTAGACATGAATAGTAATGAGAGTCATTTCCCTTCCACAGAGTGACGAAAAATACAGAATTTTAGGAATCTGTGAATGTTAAAAAGAATATTCGAAGTCCAGGATTAAAATATAGGTTCTGAAAAGGAAAAAGTAGTACAAAAACTGTGTATGTTAAATCATATATATGGACTATCGTCCTAAGTAACCTCAAACTATCTTCTGCTGTTACAGACATCACAGAGAATGAAGGAAAAAAGAAAAAATAGATAGAAGAGAGAGGACACATAGGGATTTTTAAAAAGTATTTTATACAATAATATGAACCAACCTAAAGCACACAATGTCTAACACATAGTAAATGTCAATAAATGCTGGACAAACAAGAAATCCGCACATCAAATGGCACCTTTCTGCAGGACCATTTTGCTGTACAACTCTAGGGGGCATAATTGGCATTGTACAGCTGTCCATGTAAAAGTCACCTTCTGGACTTAAGTAATAAATGTCCCTGCATGGCCAAACATTGAAGCCTTGCATGTGTAAATGTTTAAAAATGTCCAAAGCATTCATTACATAACTACCATCTACGACATCCACAGACTATACAAAATGGCATTGTTCACTTTTATAAAAATAGAGGTTAAATGATTTTTCTGTGAGTTAGCATCCCAACGTCTATACCTGCAATGGATCCAAGATGTTGTGTCTTGGGTGGGGGTAGCTGGAAGGGGAGGTACAGAAGGATTATCTAAGACAGTGTACAGATATTCTTTAACTCTTACAAATTACACTCAAAAGTTGTCACAAAAATTGACGTGATATGGCATTCTAGTCCAAAATCCTTGCATAAATGGGCACGGGATAATTTGTCTAAATCCTTCAGTATGTACTGGTTTAATTTAAATAACCTTTTGTAAAATAGGTTTCCTTCCATTTTACACATATTCATGAAGACATGCTATCAGCATTGAAAGATAGCCAAGCAGAAAAAAGTCCTGTCACACTGACAAGACGATTTCCTTGGGTAATGTAATCAGATAGTACAGCTGCATTCCTTGTTAATCTGAATTTAGTTCAAATAGCTAAAGAGCTTTATTCACTTTGTAATAAAAATTAGACACTTGCAAAATAAGTTTTAGACAATTCACATAAATTTATTTTTGTAATAATTATTTATTGCAAGAGAAGTTTTAGAAATACACTGAAATGGCATTAGATCAAGATGAAATAACCTGATTTCTAAAAGTGTACTTCATCAAATGCTTTACTAGGCTTCCATGATAGCAGTATTAGGTGTCTGCTTAGTTAATTATGCAGTTTTTTACTTTATTTTTTGCCTTACTTGGAAAATTTACCAGTATAATTTTTCAACACACTTTTTAAGCCAGATCATTTTAAACCAGATTCCTTTATCTAATCCTTAAGACTGAGTGACAAGAGGAGACAGAAAGGAAGGAGGCTTTAATGCTAATTTGCCTAGGATTATTTTTTAGCATGAAAATTGGACAACTGATGATATAGGGCAGTGTTTCTCAGATGTATCAGATCATAAGACTTAACTGCAATGCTTGTTTAAAATTATGGAATCCCAGGTCTCATTCCTACAGGTTCTGATTCCTGAGGTTGGGGATGGGTCTTAGGAATGTTTATTATATTAAAAGCACTTAATGACCGTAGTGTAGGAAATACGTGGCATCATTGAAAGAGCTCTGACCTAGTCTTAGTGTTCAAAACACCAGGGCTGCCAATTCTTCTGTGTGTCCTTACCTGAGTCACTTAATCTCACTGGGTCTAAATCTCCTCAGTTGCAAAGGTACAAAAACAACAACAACAAAAAAGAGTTTGGCCTTAGTCCATAAGCCCCATGAAGACAGGAGCCCTGCAGATTTTGTTCACTGCCTGGTCCCCTGCACCTAGCCTGCTGCCTGTCACAGAGCAGCCTCTCTGTTAGTATTTGTCGACTAATTCACTATATGGATGAGCTGCAAGGCTCTTTTTGGCTCTAAGATTATATGATTCTAAAATGAAGAAGTAATAAATGCATTTGGTCTGCCAATTACAAAATAATAATTATTCTCAAAAATAAAACAAGATATAAACTGAAAAAGGCCCTGCTTGTTTTTACTGGTTTCCCGGCTGCACATTCCTGGTGAGCATTTCAAAGAATGTGATTTGGGTAATTTGATTTTACGTCTTCCTTACTGGGCTGTGATGGTTAAAGGAAATGCAATTCATTACCGTGTTAACACAATGTTTAGTTCACAGTGTATGCTCAGTAAAAGTAAGTGAAATCTGGAAAACCCAGTAAATTCTATGGAGAATGATGCAGAAGAATGTAAGTTCTCTTGCTCCGTGGACAGGTGTACTGTAGTCACACCATTACTTTTAGGACTTTTCTTATTTTAGTCCTAAAACATACGTCAAGCAACAAATCCAGAACTGTCAGAAACGTTCCCTGGCACAAGTAGATTGTGCAGAAGTGAGTGTTAAACTGATTATGAAGGAAAAATAAATCCTGAAAACTCTATTTATAAAAGGCCGGTCACGGTTGCTCACACCTCTAATCCCAGCACTTTGGGAGGTGAGGCGGGCTGATCACTTGAGGTCAGGAGTTTGAGACCAGCCTGGCCAACATGGTGAAACTCCGTCTCTAATAAAAATACAAAAATTAACCGGGAGTGGTGGTGCAAGCCTGTAATCCCAGCCACTTGAGAGGCTGAGGCACGAGAATGGCTTGAGCCCAGAGGCGGGGGTTGCAGTGAACGGAGATCGCGCTACTGCACTGCAGCCTGGGTGACAGAGGGAAACTCCGTCTAAAAAAAAAAGAAAAAGAAACAACAACAACAAAAAACCCTCTATTTATACTATTTCAAATTTATTTTAAAACTTAAATGCTTTTATTTACTTTTAAATTTTTATTACGTTACTTTATTTAAATACTTCCAGCTTTGTGCAGTGGCAGTATCATAGTCAATGAGGTTTAAATACTTCCTTACATTATGTATCTAAAATAATTTAGAGAAGTGGTTCTCAAAGTGTGGTCCCCACATCAGCAGCATCAACATCACCTGGGAACGTGGAACAGATGGTTGAGCCCTGTCCCAGATTCTGAATGTGGGGCTGCAAAAATCTATGTTTTGACAAGTTCTCTAGGCAATTCTCATGAATGAGAACCATTGACTTAGGGTTAAAAAAAAGACTGTCATAAAAAAATGAATTCAAAGAAAGCTGAATTCAATATTTTATAGCTCTGATGATGTATCAAAGTTGAAAAGACTACATCATTTATCTAGTCAATTGCTTATCAACACACTCAATTAGCAAACATACAGAAAATCATTTTTGTATAACTTGTTTTCTCTCTATGAAAAACAAATCCTGAAATACTGCTTCTGAAATCAAAAATATGTAAACTCCTGGCTTTTAGGATAATAAATTCCTAACTTTTCAATTTTACAAGTACAATACAAATTTTAATGATTAAAAATACTACCAAGTATTACTAAATTTCATTTTAATGTTATTAAAACATGAACAATAAAAAAATGAGGCTATGGGTATACAGTGCAAAGTCACAGTTTTTCTTCAAAATCCAAATGGCAATTCTGATTTACAGCTAGTGATGTATAAGATTCTAAGGACAACTAGATATTATAAATTTAAGATTCTATGTTCTATGTAAGAAAAGCTCTCAACTACAGAGTTTTGAAAATCTTAAAGCTACATTTTCTCAGATATCAGCAAAGAGGGAAGAGAGTTTTAATTTGAAGGCAGAGTAGAGATGAGGGTGCTGATGAGAAATGCTGATCCCTCCATTGTTACATTCTTTGGTTGCAAGTTAAGGGACTTGAAAATTGTTGACACAGTTAAGAAGGTTACAGAATTATTGCCCATTCTACATTGTTCTGGGGCTTGACAGAACATGAGTCTTCAGTATGTTTTTTCGATATTTCCCCCAAGCCCTAAAATTCACCCAAAAGAAAGAGGTCAACTTAAATGTGTAAGAAGAAGAAACAAATCAGTCCATATACAAGAGCACCTAGTCAGGAACATTAAACGGCAGCGTGCTGATGACCTCTCCTGACTCAGTGACGATGGCATCGTAAACCCACCGTCGGTTGCAGCGGCACTCGGGCCCACACTTGTTGGAGTTACACTTCGGGCATGGGTAGAAGCAGCCCAGGCAGTTCTTCTCTAGACAATCACACAGATCAGCGTCATTACAGATGAGCCTGCCACTTTTGTCATACTTCCTCATTATTCTACAAAGGAAAAGCATGACATTAAGATGACAGTGCAATCATCCTCAACATTGAGAATAAATTAATGTACAATCAACATCATACACATGACCATTTTACCCTGACCCAGAACTCCAGAGATTACCAGAAACATTGGTACTCTGGACCAGAACTCCAGGGATTACCAGAAACACTCCAGAATATTGTACGGCAGTGACGTCACGGGAAATTCAGTCAATATGAGATCAAACAACTTCCAGTGCAGCCAGGCTTGTCATCTAGAGTAACACTTCATTTTTCCAGCATTGCTGGGAAATGCAGCAATCTACCTAAGAAAATTATGAGGAATAGCTAACTAAAGCTTCCTCCTACAAATGCCCCCAAAGTTTTCTTTAAAATATTACCATTCTTGATAGATTTTTCCCTAACAGATTATTTTTTTCTTAAAAGCACTATGCTGAATGCAACTACCACATTTTTGTTACCTAAAATTAGAACTGTCAGTTATTACACCATAATCATTTGAAGAAAGAAAAGCACCTTTGCTAACAGTCTCCAAGTGCCATTTCTTCTGTTCCTTTCTGATTCTGCTTTTTACCCAGTGAGGAGGGAGAAAGGAGGTGACCAAGACTGGAGGATCATACATCGTAAGCTCTGACTGAAGGTGGGATGCTCTGTCCCAGAGGAGAGCCCAGAGTCCAGACTGTCTCTGTCAGCCTCTACAACATGGCCAGGGACAAAGGACTTTCACAGGAATCCTACTACCTTCTCAAACCCAACCATTTTGAAATAAATCCTTCAAAACTGAGTTGCTTCAAAACCTGAGAACAACAAAAATACCTCTGTATAACTGATAGCCGTTATTACCACTGAAGTCCAAAAGGCTGGTTGTCCTAAGCTAGTATGGCAAAATTATGTATAATACTCCTGCACCCTTTGTCCCTAAGCAGGCACAATGCCTCCTCTCCTTCTGTTCGCTAAGTAATATCGTTCCATCCTGTTCCTTTTCCTAAGAATGCAGGGAAGGGAAAGGATTAGTCATTATGTGTACTTGCTGCCTGATGATCACGCTTTAGCAAGAATGCCTTCTAATGAAGATTCACTTTTGAAGTACTTTATTTGTGGAATGAAACTCTTCCTAAGCAACCCCAGGAAATTTAGCGGAAGAGGATATTTTAAATCTATTATAAGAGTGATGGAGTAGATGGTCCTGAAATCAACCTATACCACAGGTCAGATTCTGTCCTCCCTTTGCCTTAACTCAAATATTCTCCTGTGTTGGTAAGGTTTTATGGTTTCCGGCCCATTTGATGCTTTTTTTTTTGGTAAAATCCTGAATTATACACATCAAATCATGCAAAATATATACACTACATGCACAGATAAAGAAGAATAAAACAAACTTCTGTGTGCCCACTGTCCAGCTTAACAAAAGAGTGTTACAGCAGTGAAGTCCTCTTCAATCCCCACCCATTGCATCCCTCTACCCTCCCCTCAAAAAGGAACTGTACCTTGATGTTATAAAAGTCACTTCCGAAGGCCTTTTCTGCATCTACGGAGATAATCATGTGGTTTTTGTCTTTGGTTCTGTTTATATGCTGGATTACGTTTATTGATTTGCATGTGTTGAACCAGCCTTGCATCCCAGGGATGAAGCCCACTTGATCATGGTGGATAAACTTTTTGATATGCTGCTGGATTTGGTTTGCCAGTATTTTATTGAGGATATTTGCATTGATGTTCATCAGGGATATTCGTCTAAAATTCTCTCTTTTTGTTGTGTCTCTGCCAGGCTTTGGTATCAGGATGATGCTGGCCTCATAAAATGAGTCAGGGAGGATTCCCTATTTAACAAATGGTGCTGGGAAAACTGGCTAGCCATATGTAGAAAGCTGAAATTGGATCCCTTCCTTACACCTTATACAAAAATTAATTCAAGATGGATTAAAGACTTAAATGTTAGACCTAAAACCATAAAAACCCTAGAAGAAAACCTAGGCAATACCATTCAGGATATAGGCATGGGCAAGAACTTCATGTCTAAAACATCAAAAGCAATGGCAACAAAAGACAAAATTGACAAATGGGATCTAATTAAACTAAAGAGCTTCTGCACAGCAAAAGAAACTACCATCAGAGTGAACAGGCAACCTACAGAATGGGAGAAAATTTTTGCAATCTACTCATCTGACAAAGGGCTAATATCCAGAATCTACAAAGAACACAAACAAATTTACAAGAAAAAAACAAACAACCCCATCAACAAGTGGGCGAAGGATATGAAGAGACACTTCTCAAAAGAAGACATTGATGCAGCCAATAGACACATGAAAAATGCTCATTATCACTGGCCATCAGAGAAATGCAAATCAAAACCACAATGAGATACCATCTCACACCAGTTAGAATGACGATCATTAAAAAGTCAGGAAACAACAGGTGCTGGAGAGGATGTGGAGAAACAGGAACACTTTTACACTGTTGGTGGGACAGTAAACTACTTCAACCCTTGTGGAAGTCAGTGTGGCGATTCCTCAGGGATCTAGAACTAGAAATACCATTTGACCCAGCCATCCCATTACTGCATATATACCCAAAGGACTATAAATCATGCTGCTATAAAGACACATGCACATGTATGTTTATTGCGGCACTACTCACAATAGCAAAGACTTGGAACCAACCGAAATGTCCAACAATGATAGACTGGATTAAGACAATGTGGCACATATACACCATGGAATACTATGCAACCATAAAAAAGGATGAGTTCATGTCCTTTGTAGGGACATGGATGAAGTTGGAAACTATCATTCTTAGCAAACTATCGCAAGGACTAAAAACCAAACACCGCATGTTCTCACTCACAGATGAGAATTGAACAATGAGAACACTTGGACAGAGGAAGGGGAACATCACACACTGGGGCCTGTTGTGGGGTTGGGGGAGTGGGGAGGGATAGCATTAGGAGACATACCTAATGTAAATGAGGAGTTAATGGGTGCAGTACACCAACATGGCACATGTATACATGTGTAACAAACCTGCACATTGTGCACATGTACCCTAGAACTTAAAGTATAATAAAAAAAATTATATATATATATGTATATATATAAAGTCACTTCCTTGTTTTGGTCTTAGTTATGACACATATGTAGGTATCCCTAAACATATTGTGATTTTCCTTTTGTAATTTGCTTTGTTAGTCTGATCATGAGTTGAGATTCTTCCATGATGGTACATGTAGCTGTTCAAATATTTTCACTTCTATATGTATTCCACTGTATAAATATACCACAAGTTATTTATCTTTTCCATTGTTGATGGACATTTGGATTATTAACAGTTTATTTTCTTTGCTATTTCAGTGATGCCATGAAACTTCTTAAACATATCTCCCTATACATGTATTAGACTTTTTCCAAGATATTAATTTATACTCAGGAGTGAAGATGTTAGGTCATAAGGCACATAGGTAACACTGAGCTGTTTTTAAATAGTGGTTGTACCTTTTTACACTTAATTCATATCTCATAGCTTCATCAGCTTTGATGTCAACAGACTAAATTCTGACTCCCTGGGGAGTATGGCACTTCTATGTATGTGCTGATCAGGTTCGGTATCCTGAATGTTTATTTGTTGTTTCCTCTATGAAATGTCTGTTTATCATTTTATTAATTTGTCTATTAGGATATTTACACTTTTCTTATTGACTTGTAAGATTCTTCATATATTTTGGATACTGATTTTTTATGTTATTAATAACTTCTC
Organism: Homo sapiens; assembly: GCF_000001405.40. Lineage (NCBI taxonomy): Eukaryota > Metazoa > Chordata > Mammalia > Primates > Hominidae > Homo > Homo sapiens. The sequence continues at coordinate 116,054,971 of NC_000005.10, read as the reverse complement.
CTACTTTATGGTGTGTCTTTCACTGTTTTTATGGAGTTTTTAATGGGCATATTAATTTTAATGTAGTTAAATTTATCATTTTCCTTTATAGTTTTCTTAGTTTATTATTTTTTATTTTATTTATTTATTTATTTATTTTTTGAGATGGAGTCTTGCTCTGTCATCCAGGCTGGAGTGCAGTGGCATGGTTTCGGCTCACTGCAACCTCCGCCTCCTGGGTTCAAGCGATTCACCTGCCTCAGCCTCCCAAGTAGCTGGGACTACAGGCGCGTGCCACCACGCCCAGCTAATTTTTTGTATTTTTAGTAGAGACGGGGTTTCACCGTGTTAGCCAGGATGGTCTAGATCTCCTGACCTAGTGATCCACCCACTTTGGCCTCCCAAAGTGTTGGAATTACAGGTGTGAGCCACCGTGCCCAGCCAGTTTACTTAGTTTATACTTACGATGCACTAACAATCATTGTACTTGATGATAGTCCTGTGCCCATTTAATATCCTGAGTTCATTCCCATGGTTATATTATTTATCCTTCTAATGATACATTTTTGTTACTTTTAAATCATCTTTCCTACTAAAGCCATTACTCTATTACACGGCTATTGAAGCCTTTTTAAAAAATCGATTCCTAATTCGGGATTATAGTCTATTTTTCTGTTTCTTAAGGTTGCTAACGTCCAGACACATGGGTACTATTATATTTCAGAGGAGATATTTTTAAATAATAAATAATAAAAAGAGGGAATCTTTCATTGCTTTGTCAAGGAGAATTCATGCATTTCATAATCCCACAGATCAAATACAATAAGTCAGAATCTTACTTGTATTTGGTAGAAAAATATTCATTCATCTTTGACATCCGGGCTTTCTTTTTCTGCTGCCTTGTTTCAGGATTAAAGTCTGCTACCTGTGGTCCAGGGTTTCGAAATGCCAAGCATTTTAACTGCCGCTCTATTTGTTGCTATTAAACAAATAAATGTATTAATAGTAAGAACCAGATAGTTTTATCTGTTTTACATTTCCCCAAAATGAACTTTCTGTAACTTTCACCATAAAGGCATGAAAGTATATATGTTTTACACAAAGACATAAACGATTTAATCTAATTAAGTTTCAAAAGATGGTGTACATTTTCTCAAGTTGGGCCATTCTTTCTGAATAAAGAAATAGTATAACACTCATAAAATAAAAATGTAAAAAACAATCAAGGGGAATAGAAGAATTCTTTTTAAAACCGCAAAACGCCACTCAGCTTTCCAAATCTGATGGGGATGCACATCAGAATTAGCATTTGATGTGGGTAAGGATGAAGGAGTAGAGGCCCTTCCTCGGCTGTTAGCTAAAGAAGCCCATGTAGTGTCTCAAACCACAGTGAGAACCCAAAGTAGATCCGGCACTCCCCTTCAGTGCCCTGGGATGCATTTCGGAGCTACTCCCTACCCGGGACTGGCCTCCACGCGGGGGGTCTCCAATTCAGAACTCAGCCACCTGAAGGATCGACTTTCAGTCAAAGCCAGATTGGAACAAGAGAAATATTGCTAGGATGACTTTCTAGGGCATACGGGGACATTTTCAAAAGTCTCTGGAGGTTTTTTTTTTTTCCTTTCTTTTCTTTTTTTTTTTGAGATAGGGTCTCGCTCTGTCACCCAGGCTGCAGTGCTATGGCATGATCATGGCTTACTGCAGCCTCAATCCCCGGGGCTCAAGTGATCCTCCCACCTCAGCCTCCCATGTAGGTGGGACTGCAGGCACGCACCACCATGCTTGGCTAATTTTTGTGTACATATGCAGTAGAGATGGGGTTTCACCATGTTGCCCAGGCTGGCCTTGAATTCCTGGGCTCCAAGGATCCACCATCTGCCTTGGGCTCCCAAAGTTCTGGGATTACAGGTGTGAGCCACTGTAATTAGAAATTAGATGGGGCCTGAGCTGAAAGACAATTAGAAATTAAATGGGGCCTGAGCTGGAAGACAAACAACAAAATGCTTCAATCGAATATTGTACTGATAACTTATTGTGAACATGTAGCACATGTCATGAGGGAAGAAAATGCTCTTTTGAAGGATTGTAGAAGAAAATAATCTCAGAAGCACAAAAACATATAGGCTGACATATACATGAAATACCCCACCTGGAAACAAAAGGGAAGCTTTCAATGTAGGAATTTCAATGTAACAAATTAGTAACAGAATGTCATGGACTTTTCTGCAGTTTATTTAGTTTAATAAGAGTCTAGTAAGTCTAAAATAATATAATGTTTCTTTTAAATTTCATCTTGGTGTATATGGTTGTTTCATAAACTTAACCTTAAACTGTTCTGCATTAGATATGGTTATGACATATACATACAACTTAGTACGAAGCGATTACTATTCTAAGTAGCACAGCAAGAGGTTAAGAACAGAGACCCAGGGTCACCTGCCTGTGCTCAAGCCTTGGCTCTGCCACGTACTAGTGGTGGGCCTTGAGCAAATTGCTACATCTCTAGGCCCCAGTTTCTCTCTTTGTAAAATGGAGTTAACAATAGTATGGTGTGATAAGGATTAGATGAGTTAATACATACAGTTTTAGAGCCATAACGTGACATAATAATAACAAAATAAAGGTTCATTAAATAAAAACATTTGTAGCTTTTTTGTCCGACATCTTTGCAAGGCTGCGGTGTCTGCTGCTACTCTCCGAGCTTCGCAATGCCGCCCAAGGACGACGAGAAGAAGGACGCTGGAAAGTCAGCCAAGAAAAACAAAGACCCAGTGAACAAATCCGGGGGCAAGGCCAAAAAGAAGAAGTGGTCCAAAGGCAAAGTTCGGGACAAGCTCAATAACTTAGTCTTGTTTGACAAAGCTACCTATGACAAACTCTGTAAGGAAGTTCCCAACTATAAACTTATAACCCCAGCTGTGGTCTCTGAGAGACTGAAGATTCGAGGCTCCCTGGCCAGGGCAGCCCTTCAGGAGCTCCTTAGTAAAGGACTTATCAAACTGGTTTCAAAGCACAGAGCTCAAGTAATTTACACCAGAAATACCAAGGGTGGAGATGCTCCAGCTGCTGGTGAAGATGCATGAATAGGTCCAACCAGCTGTACATTTGGAAAAATAAAACTTTATTAAATCAAAAAATAAAAATAAAAATAAAAACGTTTGTATATATTCTCCACAAAAAGCAGAATTTTATTGTACAGAACACTGGGCTAAAAATCAGGGTACACAGGAGGTGGAGAGGAGATGTGTGAGGCGAGAGCAGCCCGCAGTGAGCAGTGGGGAGGAGGGAAAGCTCTATCAGCCTGGGCGGCAGAGCTCCTCCCTGTGAGGTCCTGCCTGGGCCCACCTTCCCACCCACATCCATGGGCATCTCAGAGATCCTCGAGGGGGCACTCCCCAGTAGCATGGAATCATAGAATCTGTGTGCCATACCAGTTGTTTCTGTCCAATTTGACAGTTCTTCTCAGGAAAACTATGATCTGTGTGTCTCTCTTGAATGGAATTGTTTTTCTCTGATTGTTCATTCATCTCTGATCACTTAAAAAGTAATTGGAAAAAGTAAAACATATTAATATCATCTATCTCCAGTAACTATATCTGGTGATTCTTTTCTACTCTCCCTACACGTCTCACTTTATTCAAAACCAGACTGTATCTGTACTCCCAGAACCTTTTCTCCCACTCACTGTTAAACCTTGCCTCTGACTCCCCCAGACCACCCTACTGAGGCTCTCCTCTGCCGGGGGTTCCAGGAGAAAATCAATAGTACCTTTGACAGTCCTTAGCATCATAAACCTCTCTTAAGCAGGATTAAGAAGACTCTGAGTTTTTAGAACTCCATTCTTCCTTCTTTACACACACTCTTGAAAGAAAAAGTATGATACGTTAATGCCATATGTACACAGTAATGTTGTGAAAAGCTCATCCACTCTCATGGTTTCAGCTGACACCTCTTCATGTATCATTCCCACAGTGACTCCCCAAAGCCTTGATCTCCTCACTCAACTTTTCTGATAAATTTCTAATGCAGCTTGTGCTAAATGGTAATCAGGTTTTCATAAAACCCCACTGCTAAAATGCCTGTAACTTACTTCTTCTAAATTACTTCAGTAGTATATATACAGGGTGCGTGCGTCTGTGTGTGTGTGTGTGTGTGTGTGTGTGCATGTGTGTGTGTAAGAGAGAGAGAGAGAGAGAGAGAGAGAGAGAGAGATGGAGCCCATACAATATGGTAATCATGAGTGACAGTCCAGGGCTGGTCTGCAATGTTCTATCAGAAAACACCACTCTCCAGAGGAGGCTTCCACAGGCCCTGCTGTTTTCCCTGATTCTCATCAACTACCATTGCTGACTACAGGGTGCCATTTCTACTGAAGTAACTTAAGAGTTAGGCGTTATCATGTTGGCTTGACTCATTTAGCATCACCTCTCTGCTGACCAATTGGAAATTCCAATTCTATCAGTGGGAAATCTCCAAACTGCTCTCGACAGTGGCTGGACTAATTTACATTCTCACCAATAGTGTGTAAGTATGCACCAAGGAATACCACGCAGCCATAAAAAGAACTAGATCATCTCTTTTGCAGCAACATGGATGCAGCTGGAAGCCATTATCTGAAGTGAACAAATACAGAAAACGAAAACCAAATACTGCATGTTCTTACTTAGGTGGGAGCTAAACGCTGGCTACACATGGACAGAAAGATGGCAACAATAGACACTGGGAGCTACTGGGTGAGGGTAAATGGGTTGAAAAACTACCTATTGGGTATGATGCTCATTACCTAAGTGCATTATCCCCCTGTAACAAACCTGCATATGTGTCTAAAATAAAACTTGAAAGAAATAAAATATTCACATTCTTTTAAAAATCACCTTGTTATTTCTCCTTATAAAATTCAAACAATGGTTCTCAGGAAAAGTAAATAACAGCTATTTTAAAATGCATATATTCATAAATAGAATTCATAAGCAGATACATATGTATACAAAATAAACACATTAAAGGCTCAGTGGTGAATTTAATTTTGTTTATCTTAACTTTTCAGTCTTTGCATTTGCTGCCATAATTTCTACTGCCATTATTTTGGAGAATTTTAATTTATTTTTTTGGGTGCGTTAAGTAAATACTTGGGGCTGTGAAAAAATGTAATTTATAATAACTGTTATTTCTAATTGGAAAATACAGTGACACTGCCATAAAGACTTATATGTGGTGTTTTATAGCACTGCTGGAGTTTCTTACTGCCCTCTCATAGCCAACTTATCTCTCTTTTATGGTCCTTCAAACTATTTGTTGGCTTAGCATATTATGAATGAAAGAAAGGACACATTTAAAAGATCACAAGGGCAAGGAGGGCAAGGGCTGAAAAACTGCCCATTGGGTACTTAGCTCTTTACCAAGCTAATGAGTTCCATCATAATCCAAACCTCAGTATCATGCAATATGCTTCTGTAACAAACCTGCACAGGTACTTCCTGATTCTAAAATAAAAGTTGGAAAGAAAAAATAATTAATTTAATTTAATTAATTACACTTTGTCTCCATCAGTTTTTGCTTTGATACTCTCACATGCAATGTCAGACCTGATCAGCCAAACATTCCTATGAAGAGTTTTTCAACTTGTAGAAGATAAAAATCATATGGAGCTGTTTCAAAAATCACTAATTTTCTTCTGAATCTCAGACCTACTGAGGTTGTAATTTGCAGGAAAGAATCTGGTATTCTGCATAATTAATAAGCTCTCTGATGAACCTTATCATTAGGCTATTAAAGGAAATACTAGGGTAGGAAAAGTAGGTATAATTTTCTCCATGTAGTCTTTCCATCTGATGGTAAAACTATTGCCCATATAGATGGTCCCTGACTGAAGATGGTTTGACTTAGAACTTTTTGACTTTATGATGGTGTGAAAGCATGCTCCTTGATTTGCCATGGGCTACGTCCAAACAAACCCATTGTAAATTGAAAATATCATATGCCAAAAATGCACTTTCTACTTTAAAATATTTTGGGTTTATCAGTACATAACCTGATCATAAATGAGAAACATTGTATTATCTCCCCCTCCCAGACATCATAATTCATTTAATACATTCCAGCCCTGTTAATATTCTGAAATCAGGAATCTCTTTATCTCATTCCTATTAAAATACTTCAATGACTCCTCTCTGCCAATAATATCCCATCCCTCTGGTATATCAGTGAAGGTTCATCATAGCCATCTCTAACCTTTATAGGCTCATCTTCTGTCATACCCACACTTGGACCAAAGTTACCTGATCCCAGTAACTTTGGTCGAGGGATCCCACTCGAGTTGCCGTAGATGTCAAAGTTTTACTTATGTTCATCACTTCTTCAAGATAACAGTAGCTCTTAGACATGCTACTAGATCTTGCTTGATGTGTTAACAGTTGGGCACATGTATTACTGTCACAATATTATGATAAGCGTATTTCAGTATAATTGGTTTCCTTTCTCAGCTTACAGGTTTTATTTTATAAAATTAAAAATAACATTCTGAGAAATGGTCCATAGATATCACTGTCTGCCAAAGGGATCCGTGACACAAAAATAAGATTAAGAACTGCCAAAAGGCAGGGAGAACCTACTGCCACCATCTCCACTGATGATGGTGATGAGAAACAACAGTTCCCAGCTCAGGATCATTTAAACTATACAAGATGCTCATCTTCAAGCAGGCTAGAAGCCATATGTATGCTAAGCTATTGCATTTGATGGGGATACAAAAAGTGTGAAATCAGGTTAATAAACTGATTTGTCCTGACATTGTGTCAGATTGCCTATGAAAGACCCATAAAGTGTTCTAACACAAAGAGAAGAGGCTCCCCCAAGCATCAGACTCCTAGAGCAGAGCTAGTCAAAGTGTGATCTGAAGATGGAGCAACTGTTTAGTACCCGTATGGGGAAAGAAAACAGGCTTGGGTCAGAATAGAAATCAACCGCTTCATTAAGCACGTTGGGTAGTGTTGGGGTTTTAAAAGCAATATCTCAAAATGAAGGCTTCGGAAATAGCCTCAGAAGCAAAACTTTCTCTCTGTCTTCTGCCCTCTTATCTCTCAGCCCCATTCTCTTCTGAGGCTGGCCATAGAAACTAGAATTCCTCTTCCCCAAGGTGGGTTACAGAAACCAGCACCCCTTTTCTCCAAGGCCAGCCATAAAACCTTAAAATATTACTCTAACTTTTCCTCCACCCTATCTGTGTAGAAACTGACCATAAAGAAATCATCAATATCTGACCTACCTTGTTTAACTGTAGGTCATAAGACCCATTCCAGAGAGGGTCCTGCCTTATACCCAGAAGGAAGGAACACATGCTCAGAGAGTCCAGGGAGAATGTAGAGACAAGGGACTTGCTGGGTTTCCCCACTCGGCCTTTTAGCATTAGATCATACATTCTCTGGCCAATCATAGTTCTACACAGCTGTCTATACCTTGTTGAACCTAAGCAGTACAATTTTCTGTATTTTACAGCTGAGGAAACCAAGGCTCAGAAAGAGTCATTTGAGTCACAAAGATACTAATAGGATGCATGGGTTTGGATGTCAGATTTAGGTGACCCCCAGTACTATGTCCTTTTAAGGATACAACACTGCTCCAAGATTTATTTTATTGGTGATTACCATCTCTACACAGAAGCCTGGGGAAGGAATAGGAAAGCATGCACTTTAAATAATCTCAAGTTTTCCTCCTTCAGCTCTTCTTCAGAAACGCAACACTCAAAGGGTATACTAGGAAAGAAAAGCCTCCCGTTTAGGGCACATGAGCCACATCTGACTTCAGGATTGGATTCTGAAGAAAGTCACTATATTAGTCTTCTCAGGCTGCTATAACAAAATATCACAGACTGAGTGGCTTAAACAACAGACATTTATTTCTCGTATCTCTAGAGGCTGGGATGTCCAAGATCAAGGTGCCAATTGAGTCAGCTTTTGGTCAGGCTCTTTCTGGCTTGCAGGCTGCCTGCTTCTTAGTAAGTCCTCACAGGGCCTTTTCTTGGTATGCACACAGAGAAAGACAGGCTGTTTTCCTCTTACAAGACCAGCAATTCTATCAGATTAGGCCCACACCCTAGGACCTCATTTAAACTTAATTACCTCCCAAAGACCCTATCTCTAAATATAGTCATGCTGGAATTCAGACTTCAATTATGAATTTGGAGAGGACACAGTTAAGTCAATAGCAGTCATATACAGATGAAATTACCCTTAAAAATCCCTTCAGAAAATGCTACAATGAAATAACCCAACATAGCCAGGCATTTCTTCAGCGCTGGAACAGATTATCATTCCTTAGGGTCAGCATCAGATGAAGCAGCTGGCTTATACATAGGAGCCATGATGGCTGAATTATCTATGATGGATACATGATGTTTACTTTTAAGCCTCAGAATACCACACCCTGGCAAGGTGTGGAGGCCTCAGGAACCACATCCCTTGAGGGAATGGCACCAGGTCCATACCTCTATCTTCACACTCACTCTGAGGCACAGGTCATTGAGCGACACTCCAGGCAAAATGACTCATACGTTTATCACTTCCATTTATGTTTAGGATGCTGTGGCAGGTAGAGTTGAATTTTCATCAGTTGATTGTGTCTTGCATGGGGTAGAGTGAGTATTTTTCCATCATTACCCCTATGGACACTAGCAAATTATCAAAGCAAGAAACGTTCCATTTAAATTCTAGCCTAAAAGTTGGTCTCTGTTCTTACTCACAGCAGATAATGCCACTTATTCAGGGACACTATCTGTAAGATATCTCTTGGAATATATTTAGAAGTGAAAGATACACACACATATATACAAGACAAGAGAGTCAAGCTATTTGAATCTCATTCTGTCTCTAGTCTGAGTTCCTATACTTGCTAAATTTATAGGTCGCTGAGATAATTGACAGGTGAGTCAATCCCACCAGGGGCATATCTGGTAGAGAGAAAGGACGCCTGTGCAGGTGGTCAATTAAGTCATTCCCTTGCTGCCCTCTCCAAGCTGTTTCAGCTGTTTTCAAAACCACAAGACAATAACCTCTAAAAAATCTCCACTGCCATTTGTCCTTTAGAATTAAAAGTACTTTGATTTAAGCCTTTGAGAGTGTTGTTAGATAATCAATGTTAATGCTCTAGAAGCAACTTTATCTACAGTATCCACAGATTCCTAGCCATACTTTTGTAGTTGTATTTTCGTACACATACACACACACACACACACACACACACACACACACACTTCTGTGGGTCTATATGAAACAATGTGAAAATACATACAGTATATTTAAAATAATTTGAAAGTGCACTCAGCAGAGAATTTCATCATCTGTGGAACACAATGCCACCACATAGTTGCTATTGCTAATGCCACGAATGCTACCATCTGGCATCACTTTAAAACCAACTCCCTTAAACGGCCTGTCTGGGTCACTGACAGATCAGCATCTAAAAGGGCCTCTCTACTACACCTTATTTGTACTATGGATCTGTTGGATTATACATTCAAATTATTTCTTGCAATTTTAAGGTTTGTGAAAAACCAACCCCTTCTGTTTACCCCCCTCCACCAATGGAGAGTGGAAAAGGATGAAAACTTTTATGAGACCAGAATACTGTGCCATTTTCAGCATTAACCTGGTAAATATATTCAGCATTTTCCTGATAAACATCCTTCAAAAGCACTCACCTCAAATATTTAAGTGTGGAGATTCTTTCTTCCAAATCCCAATGGCCCTATTATGCTCATTTCTTAGTTTTTATTTTTATTTTCATTTACACTGAATTAAAGGAACTCCAATTATCTTTCACTCTTAAGCATAACACACGAATATAGCAATATATATTCAGAATCTACATGATGTGGCTTGTTTTTCCTCTTCGTTCTCTACTAGCCTCAGAGGGCATCGGGTTTAGGATGCATCATTTGTAAAGGTGCGCCTTTCAAATGATGAAGTTTCACAGTTCTATTACTCCCTGCTTCTTCATGTGAGTTGCCTCATGAAGACGAACTAGTAGGGTGGTAAAGAGAAAGAACACATACCTTTAAGTTGGATGAAAAAGAAGGAAAGAATACTGGAAAGAAAGGAAAACTGTACTGCCTTCTTTCCTTTGTTTTGCTGAGAAACCATAGAACCCTCAAGGGAAAATGAGAAGGCCTCAAAGGTGCTTCTACAGTTTAATGCTGTATAATAATGGCTGGGACGAGGGGAGGTAGAAAATGAAGGAAGGGATGGATGTAAATGTTAACTCACTCTTCCACCATGACTCTATTCTAAAATCATATGAAATCGGATTATGAGAGTTCTCCTTCTCTCTCATCTTCCATTCACAATAATCAGTTAATCTAGAGTTAAGCTTTTACTCTATTGTTATATGTCAACTTCAAAAGTTTAACTAATACTAATACCAAATTGTCCCCTTTGCTATTTTGTACTTCAGTGTAAATAGCACTAATAGCACTACATATATATACATATATATATACACACACATATATACACACGCACGTATATATATATAATGTTTTTCTTCAGTGTTAAAACCATTTAAGTAAAAGCTGTTTTCCCAAGAGAAAACTAAAGCATGTTTATAAACAGTGTCTAAGACGTATACTAATCTCTAAATTACCACCCTCTAAACATTGTCCTCTGCCACCAGGGTTTGGATATTATGTTGTGAGTTATTAAAACCCACTTCACTGGCAGGTTAATACTTGCTCTGTTCACTCGTGAATTATAGGGTAAACACTGCTATTTCATTACTAATTACTTTTACCGCAAAGAACAAGGAAAGGAAACAAAATCTTCAATTATAAGAGCTTGCAACCCATCTGGCAATGATGCAAAAATCCTAAGGTGGTCCCAGAATAAATATATTTGACCTGAATGTTTATGTATTAAGCCACTGCTATATTTTTGAGATTACACAGCAAATTTTGCATAATTAAAAATGTGTTCCATCTTGCCAGTTCCAGATTGATAAAATGCAAAGCTTGTAAAAATCCTACCAGACTTTTCCACAGTCAATCACTTCCTACACAGTAAATTCTTTGGCCAATGTTTGACCTTGCTTTTAGACAATTAGCTGGAGAAGGGAGTTTTGCTAATGTACTACAGCAACACTGAAATACAACAAAAACATCAAGGGCCGAAGGCAAAGGTAGTAATGCTCTTAAAACTAGACAGAGGAAAATTTTCCAAAAGATAAGGTTTGTAACCAACCAAGAAAAGTCCCAACTGAGAGGTTTTTTTAAAATTAAAGTGCCAAGAAATAACAGTGCACCACGGCACTGAACCTTACTTCCTTTTATTTTTCTAATTCAAGTAAGAAACTAAGTCATACAAAATAATTATCCTGTATTATTTACAAGTTTCTGAAGCAACACTTAATATAGTTTTTGAAATAATGGTTTAACTAATAAAACTTCAGGAGAACTTTATATCACTTTTTAAAAGATAATTTCCTTTTAAAAGACTGAAGAGTATTTTTCAAAGGTAATAATACCTCATTAAATTTGCAAGTCCAGAAATTATTGACCTTTTGACATGATTTTTGCTATAAAATTATATTTTTTCATCTTCAGATATTCTCAGGTTTCTTAGAGAATAAGTTGAATGTAATGTAAAATTGGTTGCTTTTTCAAATGAAGGATTCACATACTAAAGCACTCCTTAGTTTACCCTTTAGTTCTCAGAAAGTAAAACCTTCATGCTTATGAGTTATGAGTGGTATTATCAGGTTGGTGCAAAAGTAATTGCAGTTTTTGCCATTACTTTCAATGGCAAAATCGCAATTACTTTTGCACCAAACTAAATTTATTTTACCAGTTTTTAGCTATCTGTATATTAATTTGGAGTATACTCTGTACTTAGAAGTGACACAATTCATAAGCTTATCCATTGCAGCACTGTTTATAGCTGTGAAATATTCAAATGCCCATACACAGGAGAGTGGTTGAAAAAACTATAGTACATCCCCAAGTACCGTAGTACATAGTACATGTAGTACTACGCAGCTGTAAAAAAATAGAAAACAGTAAGGGAGATCTCTATAGAGTTATATAAGACAATTTCCAAAATATATTGTTAAATTTAAAAAGCAGAATACAAAGAGTATTTATAGGATACTATCCTTCATGTAAGGAAGAAGGATTATAAGAAAATTCTTACTGCAGCCAAGTAATTTTAAGAAGTTCTATATGATATAGGGTCTGGTTTATGAAATAATTAAAAAGTTGCTGGCTTTGGAAGTTATAAGTATCCAGGGAGGGGCTACAGTAGGAAACTCTCTAGCTTTATCTTCCTGAAGCTGTTAGCATCTTTCTTAGCACTTACTGAACAAGCTCTCACTGGGCTGCTCCAATCCTCCAATTGAAAGGCTCCAAGAAGAATAGCCCTTATTGTCTGGGTACTACTACTTCTGGTTTGCTGTGGTTACTGTTTTAACAAGCTGCTGTTCTACTGTGAAGGTGTTATGAGTTGTATTTTTGAAAAGGTACACTTTCTAGTGGGAGTCATCATGGGGGTCCAGAAGTGGATGGCACTGATATAGAATACTACAGACCTGAGCCAGGACCAGTAGCTCCTTCACTGGATGTACTCAAGGGTATCTATCCACACTGCCCTTCAGATAAATACTTCTTAATGAGCCAGACAATGTGCCAATGATAAAAGGGCAAATAAGACACAGTTCCTTTCTTCAAAGTGCTCAAAGGTCTAAAAGAAGAAGATATGTAATCAAATAAGCACAAGATGTGCATCACAAGTACTCAAGGCACTGTGCAGCTGAGAGGGGCAGAGCGGGCGGAGGGACTAGTGTGCTGTCCCTGGGAATCAAGATGTCAAGAAAGACTCCTGGTCAGACATTGTGGCTCACACCTGTAATCACAGCACATTGGGAGGCCAAGGTGGGAGGATTGCCTGCACCCAGACATTCGAGACCAGCCTAGACAACATGGTGAGACCCCCTGTCTTTACAAAAAATAAAAAAATTAGCCGAGCATAGTGGCTCATGCCTGTAATCCCAGCTACTCAGGAGGCCAAGGCAGGAGGATTGCTTGAGCCTGGGAAGTTGAGGCTGCAGTGAGCCGTGATTGAGTCAGTGCATTCCAGCTTGCATGACAGAGTGAAACCCTGTCTCAAAAAAAAATTTGTTTTAAAAAAGACTGACTAGAAAAGGTGCCAATTAGTGAATCCTGAAAAATGCACGGGGAAAAACTCAGGTAAAGAGGGAGGGAGAAGGACATTCTAAGTGAATGGAGCTGCTGTGAGCAAGAGTTGAAGGTAGGAGAAGTCTACAGATTTCAGAGGGCTCTAGTGGGGGTGTCAGGGGTTGTCTAGGCTCTGACATGGCTAAACTGCAAAGTGCACTCCAGTAGCTTCTGTGTGTGTATATAGACTCTAATGAGCATCATTCCCAGTGACAAAAATGGAGTGACTAGCAGGTAAGTGAAATAAAGTCAACAGAGAGGAGAGTAAGCAGAGTTATGCAATTTCAGGACCTCCAGCAGCTCCATTTTGGAAAATCATTAAAGCAATTTAAAAAACAAAGAAACAGAAACAAAACAAAAAAATAGGATAAAACTACTTCAGTGTTTTCCCCCAAAACTTCCTTGTAGAACTGGCATGCCTTATATGCCAGTAAATAAATACATATATTTTTACATATTGAAAAATAATAATAAAGCAGTGAAAGTATTCTATATGATACTTCAGCAGTGGATATATGCCATTATACGTTTGCCAAAAGCCATAGAATAGAATGTAATAGACAAAGAACTAACCCTAAAATAAATTGTGAACTTTGTCAATATTGGCTCATGAATTATAACAAAAGTACCATACTACTGCATGATGTTAATAATCAGGGAAACTGTTGGGGGATAACAAGAGAATACATGAGAACTCCCTGTGCTTTTTGTTCAATTTTACTATAAAACTAAAACCTCTCTAAAAAATATTCTATTGTGTTTTTTGATGCACAGCATAAAAACTTTTTTTTTTTTTTGAGAGGGAATCTCGTTCTGTCTCCCAGGCTGGAGTGCAGTGGCGCTATTTCAGCTCACTGCAAGCTCCACCTCTGGGTTCATGCGATTCTCCTGCCTCAGCCTCCCGAGTAGCTGGGACTACAGGCGCCCGCCACCACGCCCGACTAATTTTTTTTTTTTTTTTTGTATTTTTAGTAGAGACGGGGTTTCACCGTGTTAGCCAGGATGGTCTCGATATGACCTCGTGATCCGCCCACCTTGGCCTCCCAAACAGCATAAAAACTCTTTACACAATTTCTAATTTGAAACAGAGAGTGGTATAAGTGAAATAATATTCAGTTTAATTGTTTTATATTAAAAGAATTAAATTATTTTCCTTATTTTACTATTATTACTATTATATTTACTATTACTTTTAACACAACTATATGCTAATATTGTGTTACTACTTTGACTTACTAATATCGTCCACTACGTCCCAGTCCTAGGACACATTTTGTTCTTGCTGTATCTAACTGTGCCTTTATTCTCTTTTCCAGAAATGCCTTCCCGTCACTCTTTAATCACTCCTTTAATGCCTTCCCTTCACTCCTGTTATATACCAAACGGCTATAATTTCTATTAATTTCGATTATAGCCAAATGGCTATAATTTCTATTATTGTATATAAATTCTATAATTTCTATTATAGCCATTTGGTATATAACAGGAGTGAAGGGAAGGCATTAAAGAAGTGATTAAACCAAATGCCTATAATAGAAATTATATATAGCCATTTGGTATATGTCAAAAGCTTTAAAATAGACATTATCTTTGACCCAGCAATTCCTCTTTGGGAAATTTATTCTAAGGAAAGACAAAGATCTTCGCAAAAATTTAGCTACAAGAGTAAATCTTGTATTAATTCCTAGGTTTCGAGTTGCTAAGTTGGGAGAGTAAAAAGTTTGGCAGCAACTTAATAGTCAAAACAAAATAATGTGATATGAAGTAGTCATTAAAATAATGTTGTGGAAACATATTTGTTAAGAAGGAAGATCAATACACATTATTATTACAAAAGCAGATCTGAGAATGTAGAGAGTTTTAAAATTTGTCAGACAGTTTAGTAAATCATATTTTTCTAGGAATGTAATCATTTCTTCTAAGTTTTCAACCTTATTGGCATAAATTTGTTCATTATATCATCATGTTATCATTGATGTCTGCAGCATCTGTAATTATCTAATGTATTCATAATACTGTTTATTTGTACCTTTTCTCTCAGAGATTTCTCATCTTCTCAAAGAACTAAGTTTTAGCTTTCTTGTTTTTTTTTCTATGTCATATTCTTCTAAGAACTTTGGGTATATTTTCATGTTCTGTTGTTCTAAGAGGTATGTTTAGCTCATTAGTTTTCATTCTTTTTTTCCCCTTAATGTGAGCATTTCGGGATATAAATCTCATTAGGTTCTTCCCTGCCTGCCCAGCTTTGTATCATCTCTCCTTTTATCATATCTCTATCTTTGATTTGATCACTTGTTTCAAAGAAGAAGTGTTTTCTTAATGTTTTTGTTTCATGGAGAAGTTTTTTTGGTCTTTTATTCTGCTTTGTAGTATATTTGTTCTTCTATGTGTCCCTTACCAGCTATTTGATTTTCCTGATACCTTTGTAGAGATCCCATTCTGGTTCTTTCTGTTTAATCTGTGATCTTTGCTTGAAGGCCATCCTTTCCAAGCACCTATTTGTTGAAGGATGATAGGAGGAGGGCCTGGGGTCAGGAGTGGATGAATTTAAGAGAGCAAGTGGTTAGGTGTGTTGACTTGGGAGCCTTCCCACCAAACCCTGTTCGGGACCTGACCTTCTGCCCCAGGCTTACACTCCCTCCTGGGGTACAACTGAGTCTAAAATGTTTCCTGTCCTCTTGTGGATCAAGACCAGTAACTGCAGAGCTGACTGCCACCCACCTTCTTCCCCCACCCTGCTACCAGACAGCAAGGGCGGTTTGTCTGTGCATTTCCTCATTCTGCTTCATTTCCTCCGCCACCCCTGGGCCCCAGGGACTCCCTGAAAGGCTGTCTGGGGCTTGTAATTACAAAGTGTTACAGGTTTGGCCTCTCATGGTGAGCCACTTAATTTTGGAAGGTTCTGCCTCCCATTAAAGATCCACAGAAACATGTATTTGCTCTCAGATTTCTTTTACAACTGGGTCCAAATTTTGTTTTTTAGAAGTAGTTAGTCATAGAACGTGCTTTTCAGAATGTGCTCTATTTCCTCAGTGCATTGAATTTTCATCTTTTTCACACCCGCCCTCCCCACCCCATGTTTCCCAGGCCAACTTCTAACCTAACCTGGTTTCCCTGCCTTGAGTCTTTTTAATCTCCACACTTCGCTACTGAAGTTATTCTCCTTAAAATTCTTGTCTGCATTGTGTCACTTTCCTCCTCCAAAACCTTTGTGGTCCTTTGTGGTCCTCAGCATGATATTTTAGGCCTTGCATGACATGACCTAATTCTACCTTCCCAGCCTCGTTGTCACCGCATCCTTCCATTAGCCTGACACTAAATTCTAGCTAGAGTGCAAGAATGTTCCCACTTCCAGGACCCACTTACGCTTTCCCCAGTGTATGTCTAAAATCACCATTGTGTAATCATCCCCATTGCCCAGTTAGAATAAGCACCTCTGTTTCTATGTTTGCAAGCTTGTTCATAGTTATTTACACACTTGTCTCCCGTATCAGCCCTCTCCCACTTCAAGGCAGGATCTATATGACTCTTCATTTCTATGGCATCATCTGCCACAGCAACTAGGACATTGGTACTCATGCATACCCACTAATAGAAAGGATCAATGGCACATTTTTCACTGTGAATAGTAACTTAGTGATCTGTTTCCCAGGAGTCTGAGCAATATAAGGCACTTTTTTTTTCAGGTTCTAACCCACTCCGCCATCCCTACCTCTCCTCCTACCTTGCCCTGTTAAATTGGAGCATAATATTCCTGCTGTGCATGATAGGCAATGCAAACCTTAAGGTTCACAAACACAGCAGTGACTGAGAGCATTTTCTCTCCATGAACCTTACATTTGCAATGCATCCCCTCTTCCTGCTATTGTATAACCTACATCAATGCAGTGTTTATCTCAAATTGGTGTTAAAATAAAAACCACCAACTAAAACCAAACAAAGTACATTCTTGTGTGCAGGTAAGAAAACAGTTAGATAGTAATCATAGGTATCTCTGGATTTTTTATACTTTATCATTTCCTATATTTACCCATTTCCTGTAATAAGCATGTATTTCACAATTTTTAAAGTTATTAATATTTTAAAAATACTTCTAAGAATAATGTAGAACTCTCTTGTATGTGTGAAATAACTATGTCCAGCAGATGGCACAAAACCCCTAATCCAGAATTAAAACAGTTAAAAACAAACAAACAAACAAAAAAACTCTTGTTACTTGAAGAATGCCATGTGAAGGGCATGTATCTTAGTGACCAGGAATGAGCCAAAATGGACACTGCTTCCAGAATCTTCGTCTCCACTAGGTATGATTTGTTTATCTCTGTTATAGTCAAAGGTGAGTCATTTCAGAGGTAAGGAAGGGGCCTCTGTGATATGCAGGATGTGTGGGACCTGCAGAGGCTTCAGGGCAAGATGGACTATGCAGAACATTCTCGAAAAGTGGACAAGCTGTGTGTCAATGCGGTGTCACATCTGGAGAGGGCTTTGGAGACCATATAGTCCATGTGTTTCAAACATTGTTATTACCATTTTTTTCTAAATAAACTTCAATGTATGAAACCAAAAAAGTGAATCTCTCCTATTTAAAGCAGGGGATGGGATGGGAGGCAAGAGCCATGCTGGGCCTTCTCTTTGTCCCAGAGTAGCTCCACCCCTTGTACCTGACATAGTCAAGAACTGGCTATACTTAATCAACAATTATGGAAACCATAAAATACTTCCAAGAGGTCCCTAGAGAAAACCCCTAATGCAGTGGTTTCATTTTACTGCTGAGAAAAGGGCTGCTCAGAGGAGGAGAGTTGCAAATTAAAAATGGAAAAACATATAAAAAGCAAAAAAAAAAATCTTTAATTGCCTTTAAAGGAAAACATCAAAAAGAATATTCAAAATGCATCAATAAATTTAGTACTGATGTTTTCACAAATTTGACATCTGAAACTGGAATTTATGATATATTAAATTTCTGGTATTTTAAACATTGGATTCACTTAAATCTGTTTTATAGTTACAATGGTTTATGGAAACTACAGGAAACAGCATTTCAGCTAATGTGAGGTTTCAGGAGACATGTAAGCATATTTCTAGGTTATATTTTTGCAAATGAAGTTTATTTATATCAATAAAATATCCTTAGGTTGTAATTCCTGCACATTCTATAATTTTTCAATGCAAGTAGAAACCCAAACAGTGACTTGACCGCATGAAGCTAGTCATTTTAGAGCTTCTATAAGCCCCTAAAAACATGTCTAAATAATGTTTGCAAAGTAGATGCAACAATCTATTTAAATGCATTTACCTAAAGTTTCTTGTCAGAACGAGTCCAAATTTAACTATTCTTATAATTATCTTGGAAATTTTCCTTGTTTGGACATCCATTTCTATACGAAGCACTGCCTGTTATTTCCAGGAGCTTCCCACTTGACACTGTATTATTTCTGGTCTACGGAAGATGTATGTGTTTTAGAAGCTTTCAGAGAGGCTTCTCAGAGTGTAATGGTATCTTAACCATGTCCTAAATTAATAAATAAAAGGAAAACCCAAAGGTGAATGGGGTTTAGCAGTAGAGAGCATGGGTCTCAAATTCTAGCTTCTGCTTCTGCTAGCACCTTAAGCCCCTATTTCCCCACGTGTTGAGGTTAGAACAATTATACTGACCTGAGTTGGTGAGTAAGCCATTGTCTCTCAATTCCAAAACCACCTTTTAATGCTCTGCTTTGTGATGTTAGGACTCGGACTATGTAAACCACATTTTGGCTTTGCCAGCTCTGCCAACAGGGGTGTTGAGGGACGTGGAAGGTTGGAAGAGAAAGAAGGTGCTTGCTTGCTCCTTCCTGTTTGCTTCCAGTTTCCGTCGGTATCACCCCAGCAATGGTTTTTCCTTCCGGCAGTGGCTGTTGAATTCCAGTTCTCAGGATTCTTCCCTCAGTCTCCCAGACCAGCTTAGTATGTTCCCCACAGAGATACCAGCGGCAGCTGGCCAGAGCCTCCTCCTCAGAGGTCTGAGTCCAGCTCCAAGGGGCTTTCCTCTGAGTTTTTGAGGCAGCAGCCCCAGTCAAGTTGACCCTCTCCTTGAGGTCTGGATCCTGGCTGGGCTGAGCCCTATCTCTGAGATTCTGAAGCAGCCACACCAGCTTCTAGGTTCTAATAAATCCACCTCCTCCCTTGTTACCCCTACCCTAGAAGTGCTAGCTGTTTCTTGTAGTTCCTGCCTCGATGTTTTCTCAGCCTTACTCTTTTGTCATTTTGGTTCTCCAATACCCATTCCTTGTAATCAGTTCGCAGTCAAAAAAGCCGATTTGGTTTCTGATTTCCTGACCAACTATAGAGAATTCTAGGAAATAGATTCTCAAGATAAGATTCTGAGCTTAGGCTTGATCATGGCTTTGGCCTTGAATACAGTGCTGACTCCCAGTACCCCCACGATTAATGAGCAATCACTGTGGTTGATGACAAATGAAGTACCTACTGAAGCAAGTGTCCTCGCGGACCAAGTGGCTGCTTTGTTTAACCATTGTGAGGATAATATGGTGAGATAGCTATTTTGTGTGCACTGGAGTGCTTAGGAGATGAAAATGACCAGCTTGAGACATGGTCAGAGAACCAGAAAACTTCTAAGGCAGCTGTAAAAGAGTCTCTTAAGTTTTCTAGCTGCTCTGCGGGATATATCATTACAATGCAAGTTGAATTCAGAGCCTTGCCAAGGCTCAAGTGCAAGCATTAGAACATTGATTGGGAAGGAGAGAGATCCTGAGATTTGGAATAAGGACATCTGGGTGAAATCAAACAAAATGAAAATCTTATACTCCTTCATCCAAACTTCTACATTCTAGTAACTTTAACCTTTGCCCATTATTCCCCCGTTTTGAGACTGAGAACTAGTTCCTGAGCTATAACTTGGGGTTCTTCTTTTGTTTTTTCACTTCTCTAATACTTGTTTAACAAATCCTTAACATTGAAATCTCTTTGCTAAAACAAACAAACAAAATTAGTCTGGTTTCTGTTTTTCTAACTGAAGCCTACTGGACACACTGCCTCATAGGGGTATTTTGAGGCTGAGACAAGGCATATATAGCACATAGCTCAAATGGTATATCACCCACAGAAGACACTCAGCAGGTAGAAGAATTTTCCTGCTGATCACATCTCTTCCCTACTTCGTTGTACTACTTCTAGTTGAGCAGGTCAAAACTTCTCTCTGAACTTATTTATAAAAGGAGGTAACATTTCTCTAAAAATGGGGGTATGTGTTGGGGGAAGTGAAGGAAAACATCAACCTTGTGAAGAAATAAATAATACTTCATTTCTAGTGCTACTACTAGTACTTTCATCCTGCCGCCCTCTCACAGGAGTTCATAAATACTGAGGCCACCCTCTAGTGCTAAGTGATCAGAAAGGCCTCCTGCTCACTATTGACAAGTCAAAGGAACACTTTCTGGAAGAAACCATAGGTATTCTCTGTTACGGGGCATTCTCAGGACAATCTCCTAAATGAACCCTGAGAGCCCTGGCATCACTAAGGATTGTCCCTACCCAAAGGAAATGATGGGACTAACCGCCTTTGTTGATCTCAAGTAAGACATGCTAACACTAAAGAACTATTTTCAAAGACAAGGTGATCATTTCACAGAGGATAGAAAACCCAAAACTCTCACAAACCCCATGCTTAGAGCCCCTTTAATCCTCTGATGTGTATCTGTGAATCCTGAGAGTCTAGGACTCATCACGTCATCAAAATAGTCCACTTTCAGTAGAAACCTGAGAGCAGAGAAGGTGACAGCCTCATCTCATTGCTTGGCATTGTTTGTGAGAGAAAGCAAAGAAAGTGAGGAAGCCTTTATATCGTGCTATTTCTTTTCCATGGCAATCAAAATAATTAAAGCGCAGTTCAGCTGAGGACAGGCAAGTGTTCACATACACACTATTCCCACAAACATATACTCTATTTTAAATACACACACAGCCTTTTTTTCACGAAACAAACTTTTTAGCAAACAAAATAAGTTATAATATACTTTTAAGAATATAGCTTGGGTAGAAAGAGTTTGTACTAAAAAGCCTGCAACTTATTATTTTGAAAATCTTGATCCAAGGATCTACATTTTTAAAATAGAGTAGATAATATCTACCTGTATTTTTCATTTTTTCATTCTGTGCCTCTAAATTCCATTTAGAATTTTGAAGTCATGTTGTACCACCCAAATCAAGATAATTTTATTCATCTAGTTAGATTTTCTTCAGTGAAAAAATTACAGGTGATCTTAATTTATGATGAAGTTATGTCCCCATAAGCCTATAGTAAGTTGAAAATGCATTTAATGCACCAAACATCATAGCTTAGCATAGTCTACCTCAAATGTTCTGAGAACACTTACATTAGCCTCCAGTTGGGCAACATCATCTAACACAAAGCCTATTTTATAATAAAATGTTGAAAATCTCATGTAATTAATGGAATACTACACTAAAAGTGAAAAAAATAGAATAGCTCTGTAGGTACTCAAAGTATGGTTACTATTGAATTTGTATCACTTTTGCACCACTGGAAAGTATGAAAATAGTAACTCAAACCACGGTAAGTCGGGGATTTCCTGTAGTAAAAGGAGGTGGTAATATGTACCTAGCAGAGAGTTGTTATTTCACTTCTACTAGAGTGTAACAATTAAGAATACATAGCTATAGGCCGGGTGTGGGGGCTCACACCTGGAATCCCAGCACTTTGGCAGGCTGAGGCAGGTGGATCACTTGAGCCCAGGAGCTCAAGACCAGCCCAGGCAACATGGTGAAACCCCATCTCAACTAAAAATACAAAAAATTGTCCAGGCATGGTGGTGCACACCTGTAGTCCCAGCTACTCAGGAGGCTGAGGTGGGAGAATCACCTGAGCCCAGGAAGTCGAGGCTGCGGCGAGCGGAGATGGCAGCACTGCACTCCAGCCTGCATTGACAGACTGACACCCTGTTTCAAAAAAACAAAAACAAAAACCACCACAACAAAAAACTCAGAATACACAGCTATGTATCAGGAATTATATGCTACCTTCCAAGGTCCCCAGTGGATGCCTGAAACCATGGATAGTATCCTACTCTATATACACTACGGTTTTTCCTGTACATATGTACTTAAGATAAAGTTAATTTATAAATTAGGCACAGTAAGAAATTAACAACAGTAACTAACAATAAAATAGAACAATTATAACAATACATTGTAATTAAAAATATGCAAATATGGTATCTTTCTCTTTCAAAATATCTTATTGTACTGTACTCACGCTTCTTATGATGATGTAAAATGGTCAAATGGCTACGTGATGGGATGAAGTGAGGGCAATAACACAGGTATTGTGACGTAGATGGAAAATTCCAGAAATAAACAACTCTTAAGTTTCAAACTGTGCACTGTTCTGAGTGGTGCGATGAAATCTCTTGCCCTCCTGCTTCGGCCCACTGGATGGCAATGAGTCACCACGTAGTCACCTTGGCGATTAGAGCAACTGTTGCAGTATTGCAGTGCTTGTGTTCAAGTGACCCTTATTGTACTTAATAGTGGCCCCAAAACACAGGGTAGTGATGTAATATTTTTGAACTATAGTTGACCCCGAGTAACTGAAACTGTGGAAAATGAAACTGCAGCTAAGGGAAGACTACTTTACTATACATCTAGACGTGTACTGATTATACAAAATGGTAAAATATTATTAGCTATAACTGTAACATGGACTAAGTCAAGTTGTTAGCATAATAATTTCAAGTTACATGATTCACCCATGTATATGTAAAAGTCTTCCCAAAAGGCTTAGTGAAATTGTAAGATTTAATATTTTTAGAAGTATAAACACTACAGACTTTTATATAAAAGTTTCAAACAAGTTTTATTTAAAAGTGTAATGACTTACATTTATTTTTCATTTATATAGCTTTGTTAATTTAGAGTAACACATTTTAAAATTTTTAGTTTTTAGTTCCTCTGGTTGAAGATGGGAAGCGTTGACTGAAACAAGAAATTAAGTCTTTTCGGACAACTTGAATTTCCAACTTGGGCATAATTATTAAAATGCTTAGTAGATAACTTCAGGATTGTGGCTGTGGCCATTACCAAATTTGAAAGAAAAAAGTGACTTGAAATGAAAGTGCATTGCAGTTCCAGTAACAAATAGATGATAAACTTTATTTATCTTAAGTTTAATTTATTCAGAAACTTACAGAAAAGCTGGAGTTACTATAAAAATATTTTTTTTCCTGAATCAATAGGTTACTGCTTCACTCCTTCATGTATATTTCTTACAACCAAAATATTTTCTACATAAATACAACAAGCCATCAAAGTTGAGAAATTAACAATGATAGCATCTAATCTTCAGACTCCACCCAAGTTTTGCCAATTGTCCCAGTAATGTTAGTCTTTTATGGCGAAAGGAACCAGTTCAGGACCACACACTACATTCAGTTGTCATGTCTCTAAGCTCCTTCAGTCTAGAACAGATCCTCTGTCTTTCCTTGACTTTCATGACCTTGAGACTTGGATATTATTTTTGTGACATGTCCCTCAGTTTGTTTTTTCTTCATTATTAGATTCATGTTATGCAGT
Organism: Homo sapiens; assembly: GCF_000001405.40. Taxonomy (NCBI): domain Eukaryota; kingdom Metazoa; phylum Chordata; class Mammalia; order Primates; family Hominidae; genus Homo; species Homo sapiens. Next base: position 116,031,189 of record NC_000005.10, on the reverse strand, counting down.
TTTGTTAGAAGTATAACAAGAGTAACAATGTAGTTTGTCATTTCATCTTATTAAATGGAATAAAATTTCTATTTATTCCACTGCAATGGAATATCATTGGAATTCATCACTTGATGAAGGTGACATCTGCCAGGCTTTTCCACTGTAAATTACTCATTTTGCCTTCATTATTCAACTGTACTTTGTGGGAAAGTACTTTGAAATTATGTAAATACCCTTCCTCATCAAAATTTTAATTGTTATTTAGCTCATGATTTCTTATTTTATTCCCTTATTGCCTTTATTATTATGATTCTCAAATTTTCCCACATTTGGCCAGTGGGGTTCTCTTCAAGCTGGCTTTTGTGCCCATTTGGTATGTCCCAATTATTTTTTTAGTACTTCCTTGCTTTTTGCTTCAAAAGATGTTCCACTTTTAATTGCCCCTTTCCCTTCCTGTCCTGGCCCTGAAATCAGCCATTTCTTCAAGGAACTTTGGGTTCTTTAGTGGAGAATGGCATCTAGAAGCCAAGATATGGGCAATAGCTGTGCTCATTATTAGGGTTGTCTTAGTTTGAGCTGCCATAACAATATACCATAGACTGGGTGGTTTAAGCAGTAGACATTTATTTCTCACAGTTCTGGAGGCTGGAAGGTCCAGTATCAAGGTGCCGACAGCTTCGGTTCCTGGTGAGAGCACTCCTCCTGGCTTGTAGGCAGCCGCCTCCTCTCTCTGTGTTCACATGCCATTTTTGGTGCATGCACACGGAGGGTGAGAGAATGCTCTGGTGTCTCTTCCTCTTCTTGTAAGGGCACTTATCACATCATGTGGGCTCCAACCTTAAGACCTCATCTAAACCTAAATACCTCCCAAAGTCCTCACCTCCAAATACTATTACCTTGGGGGTTAGAGCTTCAACATATGAATTGTTGGGGGATACATTCAGTCCATAACTAGGTGTTACTGCTGCTACTGTCTCTCAGGAGGGAAGCTAGAGTCTAAATCCATTAGGTTGGTGCAAAAGTAATTGCAGGTTTTGCCATTACTTTTACTCTTTCTCTATCTCTATATAAATAGAGATAGAGATGATGTAGATATAGCTATATTAGGTTGGTGCAAAAGTAATTCTGGTTTTTGCCACTAAAAGTAATGGCAAAAAAATATATCTGTATCTATGTATATACAGATAAAGAGCAAAATATATCTACACATATTACAGCTATTTATTACATACTTTACAGATACTTATAAATCTATCTATATATTGAAAACCATGAGTCCATACAAATACTTCCAATTCCATACCAGAACAGTTCATTCTTGTTCCCTTCGAGTATCTGTAACTCCCTTCTCCAACAGTGAGAAGCCTGGATCCTATTATGGATATATTTTCTTGTTTGACCCATAACCCTGTGGTAACCCACCTCCTATATCTGCCTCTGTCCTTCCCCATATGGATTCCCTTCTTACCCTCCCCAGGCTCTGATACCTCATACTAGGCCACCTTCCAACATATGGGCATCCTCTTTACCCCACAAAGACTTCAACTACCCATTCTGGGTTACACAACCCCCATTAGATACTCTTCTCACCCTATCTGGGCTCTAAGTCACCGTGTCATAACTCCCTTCGCCACCGTGTGGTAACCTTATTCACCCTGTCTGGGTTCTGATATCCCACTGTGATCTCCCCTCCTCTGTGTGGATTCTTTCTTCACCCCATTCAAACTCTTAAGCCCACTTCAGGTCATGGGCCACCATGGCTCCCCCTCAATTCCCACTGGTTCAGATGCCACCTTGCTCTATTTCACCTCTAGGACTGACTTATTTATGAAGGGAAGGGAAGAGGAAGAGTCCAAATAACTCCTAAATATATGTGTTGTACAGATTACCTTTGCTAAATCTTGTTGAATTAGAAGAATGAGCCAAAGGCAACATATGTATGGTTTCAAATGCTGCTAACTGTGCTAAATCATTCTTTGTGTGGGGGAGGCAGTTATATTTACTTGTAAGCATCCCCTAAGGCTTTGCTTTGAACATGGTAATCCTGCTAGAGTTTGGATGAGAAAAAGACAGCTTTTATTGGAGCAAAGAATGGATTAAACAGGAAAAGTAACTAAGACGAGCTACCTTTTAAATCTCATCTCACTTTGCTTCTTCATGCCTTCCCCAGAATAAATTGCTATACAGATTGGTCCCAGGGATCTAAATTACAAAAAATGCTGAACATCACACTAAGACATCTGTTCTTCCATTTAAAATCAACAATGGCAAGTCACTGAATGGGGTTGGGCAAAAAAAAAAAGCATAAGATTGTGAGAAAAAATTTAATTTCGAATTATGAAATTGGAAAAAATCATGACTATATTGTATATTTTGTTAATTATTTTCAAGATGAAAGGTATACAATAAATGGACTGGGTCAGGGAAATCATTTTATAGTTGGGGTGCTAACAGATAAGCTGTTTTTATTGGTTAATAAAGTATTTATGCCACACAGAAAATCAGCCTCGGTACCACTCCCTGACTTGTTACTGCATTATTGCTATCACAGAAACCAATCAACAATTACTTGTTTTTATAGTTTGTATAAGGTAAAGCATAATAAAATGCAGTGCTTAAGTAGCCAGCTTCATCCAAGTAAGTAAAAATGGTATATCATCCATTTTTTCCCCATATTTAGAGGAAAGACTATTAATTAAATATTTGGGAATTTGATTTTGGAGAAACGCCTTCAGCACTATTTAATTACTACAGAAGCTAAGATGTAATAGGATTCAGTTTAACTTTTAACAGTCTGGAGAGACCAGCCTACATGCTCTTTTGGCAAGATCAGTAGTTCTTGGCATCACCCAATACCAGGCATCAGAGCCTTCTTGACACTGAGTGTCAGCCTCAAAGCACGCTTGGTGGACTGAGAGCATGGTTGGGTAGGAAGATCAAGGAGCAAGGATAAGAACAACCAGGCAGAAGTAAGGCAGAGATTACTGGAAAGAGGAGAAAGGAGAAAAGGGGAGAAGGGAAGAGGCAGCTTGATAGAGAAAGAACGGGAGTGGAAACAGAGGAGAGAGCTATGTATGGCTTGAATGTGTCCCTCCAAGGTCATGTGTTGGAAACTTAATCCTCAATGCAATGTTGAGAGGTGGGACTTTTAAGAGGTGATTAGGTCATGAAGGTTCTGCCTTCATGAATAGATTAGTGCTGTTATCATGGGAGTTGGCTAGTTGTCTTGGGAGAGGGTTCCTGATAAAAAAGATGAGTTCAGTCCTCTTCCCTCTTCTTTCTCTTGCCCTCTTGCCTTGTACCATGGGATGATACAGCAGGAAGGCCCTAGTGAGATGCAGGCCCCTCGACCTTGGAATCTCCAGCCTTCAGAATGGTAAGAAACTCATCTCTGTTCTTCATAAATTACCCAGTCTAAGGTATTCTATGACAGCAGCACAAAATGGACTAAGACACAGAAGAAGAAGAGGAAGAGAAAAGCAGTTGAGAGGACAAGTGAAGACAAAGTTATTGAAAGATGAGATTCATTATCAGAGGAAATATGGGAAATATAGAATGAGTGTTTAAGAAAAAAAACAGGAAGGTATCTCAGCTACAACACTTTGTAGGCATGCAGATATTTTATTGCTGAAAATTTACATTTCTACATTTGAAGAAAAAATTCTCTGACCTATGACCTGTGGCCAAGTCTGAGTAGCCTGTGCTTTCGTTTGTCCACGTGGTGAAGTCCCACAGCCTCCCCTGACACTCAGGGAGAATCCTCTTGTGAATCAAATACAAAAGCAAACGTTTGTTTTGTATTTTCATTTATGGCTGCCTTAACTTATACAAGAAATAGGCAAAAAGTCTTAATCACATTGCTTTGAGCGTATGTAACATCTTTAAAGACTGTTAATTGATGTCATACTCCTTAATCTTTAAAAATATCACCCTGAGGAGGAGATTTGTAGTTTTACCCCCATTCTACAAAAATAAAAATAAAAGATTAAATCATATACACAAAGTCTAGAAGAGGAATGATTAGCTTTAGTTGTCTTGTTTTAATCAAGCATGAGAAAACTAAGCTAATTCCATACATTGGGACTGATGAAAATGTGTAAAGTAAGTTGGTCCACATTACAAGTAGGTTCAATTTGGCCAAAAGACACTATGTTTCAAACTTAATCCCCTGAGTGCAAAACTGTAAGGATTATGCTCCAGTTAGCCTTTTAGTTCTGTTTCTTTCATTTCAAGATTCCTTTTGCCCTAAATAGTAGCCTATACTTGCTATTGTCTTTTGACATCATTGTTTTCACTCGTACGCTTAGGCTGAAAGGGTGTCCATCCCACTGGTGAATACACAATTAAGAGCTTCAGAGCAGAGCCTTCATCTCCACTATGGCCTCCACCACAGCAAGCCTAAGTGCACTTCCATGGATCCTACAATCATTTGTCTTTTTGTGACACCATAAAGTTTAGTAACCAGCAACACGTGGTTCAATGCAGGATGTACTGTGGGAGAGAGAAATGGGCAGGAGAAGACACACTTCTTGCCTTTAGGGCTCGTTAAATTGTCTCCTCTTTCTTTTTCAACTTGCTTTTCTTTGGCTCCACTGTCTTCTAGTGAATATACTTTTTGAGTTTCTGTCTTTTTATATTGTCATGTTATCTTCTCATTAGTCTTTTCAATCTTCAATGTTGAACTAAATAAACCCTAGGGCCTGGAAAAACTGTTATTTCCCTCAGCAAAGAATGTGCTCCTCATTAATGCCATTGATTTTTATATTCCACTGGCCTTCGCAACAAAATAAGCAAGACTATCTTAGGTGAATTTGTTTTTACGTGACATTTAAAGTAAATTCTGTGGGATTATAACCCAACATGAAGTGACATCTTTCCCAGAAATACAGCAGCATTGGCAAAATTGTCAGCAATCACCCACCCTCAGGGCCAAACATGACAATATGAGAAGAATGGCACTCTGAGTAATAAATGTGACTGAAATACAAATAAAATGTGTGGTTTTCCAGACTCACAAAGTATTGGAAGACAAAACTGTGAACAAACTACATTATAATATGCAAGAGGAGTGCTGAAAGATAGCCACAAGCTATGTGTTTCTCCTTAGCCACGCAGCTATCCTGGCACTTAGCTTCTTGTTTTTCAGATTTTCATTCTTTATTGTCTGTAAGTTGGCATGAACTCTGATCCTCTGGTGTTCCTCCAACATGTTACTGAAAAACTGCTGCAGCTGGAAGGACAGAGAGACAGATGATCAGTGCAATCCAACTTCCCATTTGGACAAAGTAAATGTCTAAATGCTAAGTAGCAACATGAGTTTGTAAATTGGTGATGATGGTTGGAATGAGTAGAAATGTATACTCCTAGGTTGTGTGTCCCTGGGGAGACTGTGACTGAGACAATGTGATGAACACCACACCTACCCCAAAGAAGCAGATGTAGACAGGAAGGTGCATGAAGCAGAAACTATGCCTTATTCCCAAAGCACATATTGAGTCTCAATGAATATTTACTGAACGCATATAGAGTGTTCTCTAAGATTTGCAGACAGAGATACAGTGAACCCCCCCAATTTTTTAAAAATCTCAAAAGAAACTGCAACTTCCGAAGCTCAAAATTGGTACATAATATTTGCAGTTTTACAAATGTCATTCTTTATTTTAGAATACTTAGATAATGAATTTGTACATTGGCTGAATTACCTCATTGGGTCAGGCCAAGCATTCAGTTATCAGAACATTTGTTGCAATATTATGTATAAGTCAGACTCCAAGTGAATAATAAGTTATATTCCAAAATATAAATAAGTTATAAGTTTTTTCAATTTTCATTTTACCGAGTCTCTTTTTGTATCAGTGGATTAGAACTCCGAACGCTTATAGCCATAAGATGAAAATGCCCATTCCAGCTCACAACAGCTCACTTCAACCCTAATATACTCGAAATTGCACAGTAATAGTGCTATCAAGCCTAATTACAATGTAAAAGAAATGTTTTAGGGACAAGTAAGTTAAAGAGCCAGGAACAATCCTCCCCCACTCTTTCCTTCCCTTCTCACACCTGCCGGGAGGTGGTAACCAACAGCCCACAACTCCACATCACGGATAGTGTGCCCAGGATTGGGCTCCTGTAGTGGTGGGAGGGGAGTGGTGGTGGTGTTTGGGATTGTAGGTGGGCTTCACGTGTGCTTGAGAGTATGTCTAGGAGGGGGAATATAAAAACCAGAGCCAGAGATGCAGAAGGTGTTTGAAAATTGTGCCTTTGGAGAGGGACGAGGGAGACAAATGACTTCATTTTCACTTTCTTTTTTATTATTTATTTTAGATACTATCCTGTGAACTGATGCAGCATAGCAGGACCGCTGGACCTTAAGATGTTGTTGACAAGGATAGTCATCTTAGCTAATTCATATATTTTTTTAAATTGCAATAATTTACTGCTAAATCCATTTTTACAATTTCGAAAAGCTGTGAGTGACTAGAGTTTTGAAACTTCAAAGATTGCTAAATTTATACGAACCTCATTTATTCATTCATTAACAACAAAACTTCACTGGATTCAGTAGAGGCAAAGATTGAACTAACGAATTTTAGAAGACAGAAACACACACTGAGTCTTGATTCGCGGAGCTTTTGTACCAGCATGTTCTGGGTGTAATGTGCTTTTCTTTCCCTTGTCCAGGGAATACCTGATAAATCAGATCCTGACAGCTCAGCCTTAGGCAGGCCAAAACTCAAAAAAAGAGAATTTCTTCGGGAATTAGCAGTTCTCCTTCTCTCATGATAACAATGATATCACTGTCTACTTGTCCTTTTTTTTTGCTTAGGATCATATTTCAGGCCTTTATGACCCACATATGTATTTGTTTATTTGCCTAGGGAGAGTTGATTTACCTTTATTTACAAAGGCTCTTCTTGTTCTTATTAACATAGTTTCAGGCCCTGGTGTTTAATTTTAATCAATTTTATCGGGATTTAATTTATGTACAATAAACTAGATCTACTTAAACTGTAAAAGTCAATGAATTTTGACCACTGTGTACCCCTTTGAAACCATATACACGATCAAGTACATTTCTTCTACCCAAAAAAGGGTCCTTGCAGTCCATCTCTCTCTGTCCCAGGAAACCACTGATCTGCCCTTTGTCACTATAGATCCATTTGCATTACCCAGAATGTGACTGCTTTCTTTTACTAAACATAATCACCTTGATATTCATCCATGTTGCTACACAAATTTTAAAAATTTCAGTATAGTATTCCATTATGTGGATATATTACTTTTCCTTATTCTTTTACCTATGGGTGGGCATTTAGATGGTTTCCAGTTAACATTTCAAAAAACTGCCTGTTTTCTGATGTGCTTGTGCCATGTTACATTCCTCCCAGTAGGATAAAAGAGTTCCAGTTGCTCCCTATCTTTGCCACCATTTGGTACCATAAATCTTTCTAATTTTACCTATGCTACTGGGTGTGTAGAGGTTGTATTTATATTGTATTCTTGTTTTACTTTGTGTGAATGTATCTTTTTGTAGACATTTGCTTTTGCCTGCTTTGTTTACTTTCTGGTTACAGCCCTTTTTCCTTCCAGAACTACCCCTTCCCCTTCCCAGTGCCAGTGACTTGGGTGGGGCTGTCTCCTAGTGTGGCCACAGGACCCTGGTTAGACCAATTAGAGTATTCCATCTTCCCTGGACACAGTGATTGGTACATCTGACCCAAGTAGGACCAATCAAAGTGCTTTTTTTCGGGGCAGGAACTCTTGAAGCTGTGAGAAAGTATCCTTCCTTCTGCAACTGAGAGTGCTGAGGATTATATAAGTGGGGAGCTATGCTTCTCTCCACAAGGAAAAAGACTGCCTAATAAAAATTCAGCCTAGAGGAAAGAAAAGCCAGGAAATGGTAGGAACCTAGAATAGACAAAACTAAGATATTATCTCAGTCCTCAGGGAGCTCATTATAGCCTCATGGGGTAGACATATTTACCAGTGATTACACTATAATGTAGGAAGCACTGTGGTAAAAATATATTCACAGGATGACCTGAAAGCATAGGCGAGGAGGGGGTATAAATCAGTTCATTAAAAAGTTCCTAGAATAGGTAATAGGAGCAGGATCTTAAAGGATGATTAGGAATTATCCAGCCAGGAACAGGAATGAGGAGTGTTCTCCAGACAGAAGGTAGAGTGTTTCTGAAATCCAGAAAATGTGAAGCAATGCAATAATTCAAGAAAATTTGTAAGTGGTACAGTATAACTAGAGGAAATGTGTTTAGGGGTGTCTGTCCGTCTCTCTTGCTCTCTGACACTTAGTGGTGAGGTGAGCAAAAATGAAGCCAAACTAAGGCAGGGGCCAGATCATTAAGGGCCTCATGTGCTAATCACAATATTTCAAAATTGCTTTGAAAAGCTATGAAAAGCTACTGAAGCTCTGGAACAGGGCAATGACTGGCAGTGATGGCAAAGGTGGGATGGAGGGAAGCCCGGTCTGGGACGGGAACCCTGGGCCAGAGTCCCCTGCATTCAGGTGAGAGAGGATGAAGTGCCACCCTCCATGAACAGGTGATCTCTATTTCAGAGGAGGATACAATTAAAAACACTTCTTTCACAGTGATACAGCACCAATAGAAGCATAGAATGTAATAATTCAGATAAGCATATTATTTTTAATTTTAGCAAGTCCAAATTGCATAAAAAGTGGTTTCCAAATTATCATTGTATTTCATAATATTTAAAGTACTTACCTCCACAATCTGTAAATCTGTAGTTACGGTTCTCCCTATTGTATATATTAGATTAATCAATGATTGTGTTCCATACCTACAAGGCAATAAGATGTTAATCAAGGGTGGAAAGCATTTTGCAAAATAAAGCTATATTTTATATAGCAGATGAAGGTCAAGTGTATGGCCCCTATTAATTCCTATGTCACAAATCTAAGTAAAAACATGTATGAACTAGTTTAGCTTCATCTTTTAATAGAGAATCCTATTAACACTAAGGAAGTTAAATACTTATATGTGTTACACAAATCTATTATCTAAATCTAAAAAGCTCTTCTTAAAAACAATTGTCTTTTAAAATGAGGTAGTTGGAATACATGTCACAAGTCTCAAATCAATACAATTTCTAAGGGAATAAATAAATATATAAATTATGCCCCTTAAAAAACAGTAGTTCATAGAGGATCCATTTCAGAACTGCTGACTAAAGCCCCCTGAACGTGTATTTAAAAATGTTGTATTTATGCGTGCTTTTTGGAGAGAAGATTAATATCTTCTGATGTTCTCTAAATGTTGGTGACCCTGAAGGCTGAGCACCATGGCTCTCCCTGTGCTTGTTTCAATAGGCGTGGTCATGGAAACTTCCCCTCTAGTTTAGTGTCCCTGAATATCTAGAAAAAAAAAAATCTTAAAATAGCTGTGAAGTATTGCTATGAAAAAACAGCAGACACTTACCTGCTCAAAGTGTGGCTGTAGTTAAAAAAGTAAATAAAAGACTTTGGGTGCATTAAAAAGGAAAGAAAAATTAAAATAGGGTTATTATAATGGACTGACCAAGAGACAGTTGAATAGTTAATATATACAATTGATTTACTTCAAAAATATGTACTTGAAATTAAAAATGATAAGAGTTAACTCTGGCATAATATACTAATAAAGGTGAGGGAAAATAGTGCTGCTGTTTTTCTAACTTTCTAGCTGTAACTTACACTGGGTCTACCTGAGCAACGTGAAGGACAATATAACTCTGCATATAATTGAGGCAAGCGAAACTGTTTCTATGAAGAAAGAAGAAACATTTCTTAGTTCTCTATTTTAACTGGCCAGCTAGGCAGCAAAAATCTATAAAATGACTCAAGAAATTTGAGTTCCAAAGAACCCAAATTCCAACCTTAAAAATAAAAATGGAAAACAGAGGAAACCTACCTATGGTGCTAAATGTGTGAATTTCTGCCAGACACAGGAGAAAGTTTACCCGAGGAGGCAGGGCTGGATTTGACATTACCTTGGGCAATTTATAAATTGTAAAAATGGAGAATAACAGATACTTAGAAGCATTGTTCTGGTGCATAAATGAGAAAATGTATATGGAAGCACCTATTAGATTACCTGGCAAACTTCATCCCTTCCTGCTCTTGTCAACTTCAACAGGGGTTATTTTTGAAACAGAGATGATTTATCATTCTTGTTGAGAGAGCAATCTCTTTCAAATATTACTCAACAAAATTGCATTACGAATAGTTTACCCCCACCGGTGTTCAAATACATTCTAATTAATATGAAGTCAAAAGCCAATACGACTCAATATAGTAATCCTTTCTAAAAAGTTGATAACATCTAACGTTAGTGTGGGAACAGTGATTTGGGTACTCCAGTCTGGCTCACCTTTCTGCCTCTCCTTCTTCTCACATTACCCCTCCCTTCATGTCCTCTGCCATGTCAGATTCCTTCTGGCAAGGATGCCCACGAGGCCAGCATGGGAACACCAAGGCATCCAGCCTGATCCATGCCATGGGAACAGGCCCCCCAGTGCTTGGACCCTCCACTCTGATAACTTCTCACTTTGCTTGTGCTCCTGTTTAGCCTTTTTGGCTGTGTTCCCCATCATGAAATACAACCAAGTAGAAGTGAAAACAATTCCAAGTTTTTAAGCTTAAGACTTTAGGCTATATAATAACATGTGGAGAAAAAAAATCAAGTGCTTAGTGAAGAGGGTAAGATTCATTTTGGACAGGTTGAGTTTAAAACTGATCATGCTCTGTATTCTATATTCAAATAAAAGTGGTTTTTCTGTATGCTGTGAAGCCCATTTAACAGAGATGATAACGGAACAAATAATGCTTCTACCACATCCAGTGGAAAGTCACAAAAATACTATTGCTTCATCACTATTCACATGCTTTCATAGGACCTATTCATAGCTATGTGTACCTACTGACTTTTCTGTAACTTGAAAGTAGCTTTATGACCAATGGAGTCTTTCTCATTGGAATGAGTATTCAAGAGATCATCTTTGGCCCAATAATTAACTAAATTTTCCCACACCAACCAGTATAATGCCCTGTACATGAGAGTGAGGGGCAAGACCAAGACCAAGCCAAAAGTTGTTTTATTTAATCAAATATTCCAAAATGTATTTCCAGATTAGGCTTTCTAGGAAGAATTCTGGGCCTGGCTGAAAGGAGCAGCGGTTCCTGCACTGCTATTGGCGATGTACTCAACTCCAACATGTGCCTTGGTGTGGAGACGATGTCTGTGAGCTTGCCTGCATGTCACTGTGAGACATATGCCCATGAATGCTCTGAGACAAGGGAGAGATGTACTCAAAACCACAGCACTGGTCACTTCATGCCCAGGGCCAAGCTGGACCTGAGATGGTATTTGTTTGTTTTTGCATTTAGGCAAGCTGCCTCTGCCAGTCTGTCTCTCACCCTGTAGAAATGGAGCACAAGATCCCAGCAAGATACCACCTTATGGGAGGGGCGCAAAGCCCCTCTGCTCGTACTCATGATGATGATTCTGGCTCCCACAGCCAAGACCAAACTAGCAACCAAAAACTCTACACATTAAAAAGCAAAAACAAAAATAAAATGAAATCTTCTGGAATAAGAAGTAGATTATTCAAACATTTTCATAAAAAAGCAACTGACTATGGGCAGAGGGAAGGATGAAAGTATTCTGTATGATGCTACAATGGTGAATATGCATCATTATACATTAATACATCAACACCCGTAGAATGTGCAACACCAAGAGTGAACCCTGTTGTAAACTGGGGACTTTGGGTGATAATGATGTGCCTGTTTATATTCATCAATTATAGTACAGCTATGAGCCACATAACAATGTTTCAGTCAACAATGGACAATATGTATGAGGGAGGTCCTACAAGATTAAAAAGGAGCTACAAAATTCCTATCCCCTAGCAATGTCATAGTCATTGTAACATTGTAGCACAATGCCTTTTAGCACATTATCTTTTCTATGTTTAGATATGTTTAAATACACAAATACTTGTCGCTGTGTTACTACTGCTTCCAGTATTCAGTAGCATGCTGTACAGGTTTGTAACCTAGGAGCAATAGACTATACCATAGAGCCCAGGTGTGTAGTAGGCTCTACCATCTAGGTTTGTGTAAGTACAGTCTATGCTGTTCACACAATGACTAAATCACCAAAGGATGCATTTCTCAGAATGTATTCCTGTTGTTAATCAACTCGTGACTGTAAATGTGTGGCTCTGATGCAGGATGTTGATAGAGGGGGAGGTTGTGTCTCTGTGGGGAGAGGGATATATGGGAACTCTGTCTGCTTAATTTTGCTGTGAACTTAAAACTACCCTAAAAAATTAAGTTTATTAATTTCTTAAAAATCAACTGAAAAGTCACTTCATTTATTTAAACATTTTCTGGAATTGAGATAAATAAATCACGTCATAAGATGAGCTTTCTAAGTAAAACAAATTTAAAATATTTGAACAAATCTTGGCATCTCAAAATGTTTAAAAGATATAGCATATCTTTCTTTTTTGGAGATGGAGTTTTGTTCTTGTTGCCTACCCAGGCTGGAGGGCAATGGTGTGATCTCGGCTCACTGCAACCTGCACCTCCCGGGTTCAAGCGATTCTCCTGCCTCAGCTTCCTGAGTAGCTGGGATTACAGGCATGTGCCACCATGCCTGGCTACTTTTGTATTTTTAGTAGTGACGGGGTTTCTCCACGTTGGTCAGGCTGGTCACGAACTCCCGACCTCAGGTGATCTGCCTGCCTCAGCCTCCCAAAGTGCTGGGATTATTACAGGCGTGAGCCACCGGAAATGTAGATGAGGCATTAGTTAAGAACACATTAAAAGATTAAATATTTTCAGTAGTACTCTCATAAAATAAATAATTAAGAAGTATGCATTTTCTTACTTAGGAGAAAGTAAATAGAGAACCGGGAATCAGAGCCAGGGGATACGGGTTTAATTCAAGTTCTTTTGTTTACTAGGTATTGACTTTAAGTAATTTAACTTCTGAGTCTTGGTTATTAATTGGCAATTATTTTATGGGTGGCTGTGAAAACTGTAATTATTGCATATATAAACACGTTATTTTAATTTTTAAATTTTTGGTAGAAATAGAGTCTTTCTATATTGCCCAGGCTGGTCTCAAACTCCTGGGCTAAAGTGATCGTCCTGCCTTGGCCTCCCAAAGTGCTGGGATTACAGGCACGAGCCACCATGCCTAGACTAAACATGTTATTTTAAAGAACAACATTAATGTGTGTTTCATTCTAAACATGAGACTCTAATACTGCTGAGGGATGTTATAAATTTCATAAAAATAGAAACTGACAATATTGAGAAAAAGAAATAAAGTGAATGATATAGGGACTTGTAATAAAGCAGATACATCATATTATCTCAGTAAGATAATAATAATGAACATTAAACATTTATTATGTACCAATCACTTTAAATAGCACATTATTAAATTATCTTAAAGCCTATTCATTATTATCCTCACTTTATGAATGAGAAAGCTGAAGCTTAGGTTAAAAATCTTGTTTAAGGTTACATATTTAGCACTCTCCTCATCCTAAGATTGATCTGATTCTAGATTCTATTGCCTTAACTCTTTGACATACCATATATCTAGTGGATACATGAAAAACTAAACACAATAAATAAAAGGACAAAGGACAGTAATGAAGAGACACTTTCCATAGTTCTTAGAGGAAGAAACCTCCACTTTGCTACACTGCTCTAGTTAAGTCTATCCCCATGCCCCGATTCTAGAATTGACCTCCAATAGTGTTAACACATTGTCATAATCAGGACAGCCTGTGTGTGCTTCACATACGACACCAGTTAGAAACAAGACATCACCAATGAAGAGCACACAAAATAAAACTGCTTCACATGATATTCAAGGCCTGTTAACCCCTGTCCTTCTCTCTGAGCCTCAACTTACCTTCCCACTCCTAACTCCTCTCCAGTGCTCTAAGCTCTTGCCAGTTACTGTGACTAGTCCCAAGTTGGCCTCCCAACTCTGCCTCCAGGCATTTCCTGGTGTTCTGTCCTCCAGGTAGAAGGAGGAGATTTGCAACTGTGCTTGTTCAAATCACATGCACATCCCTTTCTTCCCCTTAAATCCCCAAAAGCCCTTGCCATCTCTCCTCTACAGCATTTATCAGATACCAAGTCCTAATCCTTTTACATCTCCAATAACAATTTGAACTGCACCTTGATGTAGAAGGACTAAAACTTTTTATTACTAGAAAGAATCTTAGAATTTATCAAATACATCTATTACTCTATAGAGAAGAAAACAAGGCCTAAATGTTAACTAATGGGTTTTTTTTTACAGTTCCAGAACCAAATGAGAGGGTTGGAAAATTTTGTTTCTCCCATCAGTCTTTCTTCTGGAACAACTGGTCTACTGGCAAAATGACGTTTTGTTTACATCAGCATATCCCAAGCTGGAGTTTGGAAGAACTATACCTAGAAGACGCTATGTAGTCAAACTGTATGGAAAACTCTAGGTTTCCTTCTGCAGGGCTTCTTGTAGACTTTATAAGGCTAAAATGCACTGTGAGTCTGCAAAAGTGAGGGTTAAAACAATTTCAGAACTGACTGAGCTATTGTCTCCATCTGTCCCAGAAGGCTTATCATCCCCATCTTCGTAAGTAGCATGCAGTGGAATGTGCGTCAGAAAAACTAAGTGCTAACTTGTTAGTGATCAGTCACATTTTAGCAAATTCAGTATAAATACTTTCCACACCATTAATATAAAATTTAATTTGGCATAAGGATTTTTTACTTATAATTTTATACTACCTTCATCATTACATGAGGACTAGTGACATACATATTATCATGTCAAATATGTCTGTTTAATTAGTGATAATTAAATATTCAGATGTATAAAGAACTAAGTAAATATTCCTGTGTCATTTTGACTATAAATAAAATTTTAGTTATTAAGTTGAACTTTTATTTCCTTCTTACAATCCATAAATAATGTAACAGTCTATTCAAACAAAACTATTAGCAAAATTGAACAAAACTGCTGAATATAAACTAAGCCCTAAAAATAAATGCATAAGATGTAGAAAGCAAATTAATTTGAGTCTGAAACATTTTGTAGCAGAATTGCAAGAAAAGTGAACTAAGGCAAATTCACCAGAAGTAGAATAGGCAACTGTTTTATGAGTATGGCATGTTGTCAACTAAAAGATAAAAATATTCAAGCCATAGTTAAAAGTTCATGTATTGCTCTTCCATAACACAGGCAGTTTGTAGTGAGACTAAACAAAGGAAAAATGATAACTTTTCTAGTCAATGCAAAGGACGTTTGTGGCCTAGCTAGACTAAAGCTGAGCTTCCAAGCTAGACTAAAGCTGAGCTTCCAGTGCCAAACCAGTGGCCTAAATGAAAGAAAGGTCTCACTTTCCTTCTTACCTTTTACTCACAGCTTGCCAGTTGTTGACTAAGAAGTCTTTTGCGACATACCGGCCAACTTCAGATGAAGCCACAACCTCAATTATATTTGTTTCATTAGAAGTGAATGGAGATGTGCTGATGGCATACTCCATATATCTGCAAAAGTGCATTTTCAAAAAATACATTTTAAACATCCAACATAAAGAGTTAATTTAAATAAACAAAATCAAAATCCCATGGTTCTAAGGTAGTGAAGCACAAATACGCAACGTTTTAATACTTACATTAGCACATTTCTATTTTTTTTCCTTTATTAATTTAATTCCTATAACAGAAACTTTCAAGGTAAGTTGACCATAATCACCTGTTAAGTATCCATGGGTCTTTGCTGCAGCTCATTGCATAAGCAAGTTGAATCTTTTCTTCTTTGTTTGTTGTATTAGTGTAAGTATTTAACAAGATGTCCCACTCTTTATCACTTCCCAAGGCAATGCCATAACATAAAACCACATCTTTAATTGGATAAGGTATTCTGTAAAATATAACATAAAATGATATTTTTCATAGTAGTTATGTTTACCCAGGTTATCATATTTTAGAAGTATGAATCTAGAAAAAATATTTATAGTCACAGATATAAAGGTCAAAAGTAGGAATCTAGAGAGGCAATTATCAGAACTGTCATTAGCATTAGTTCCATGAGAAGAGATCATCAAATTCCAAACTAAGGGGCTTTAAGAAAGAAGTAAATTAGAATAGTATAGAGTATATTGATAATACAAGTTGGTCTTGTATCTGATTATCATGTTTCCTAAGAGTCCATCCGAGGTGCTATATCAAAGGTAATAAAACCAAAATGAGAGTTTCAGAGCTCAGTGAGGCAACAAACTAAGAGAGAGATGGAGAGAGAGGTGCTCTGCTGCACTCATAGATATAACAATCATAAACAATCATAAAGAACAACCTATTAAGACTCAAAACAAGCATAGACAGCTCAAAGTAAGTGCTTATTGGAAGAGTGCTTTGGCAATGAGAGGTCCTAGGTGACAATTCATTGTATAAATTCTAGTCTATCGTTATACACAGACCCACATTAAACACTGGTTTTTTAAAAAAGGTATTTGAAAAGAATAGTAGGAGAGAGCGCCTAACCAAGTGAAAGCAAAACACTCATTCCCACAGTGAGTACATCAAAAAGGGAAATTGCTGGTGCTAAAATAGGACAAAAACAAGAGGAATTATGATATTACTCTTACTCATTTTCTGGATGATCCACCCATTTTGCGAAAAGTTCTTTTGACAGCTGAAGGCAGTCTTCAAGGCCCAACCAACACGCAGTTACAAAAAGTTTTTCCAGTGATATTCTTGAAGAAAAAGTCAAAGAAAAACAGTTTATTTTGCATTACCACCTTCATTTTCTCTGCCTCCAAGAATATGTGTTTCATAAAAAGATGGGTATTTTTAAATATCCTTTCAATGACATCAGGTTTGTTTTAAAAAATTGTTTTTGTGGATGACAGATGTATTTAAGATTCAGAGAAATATTTACTGAGAGGCTCTTAGGCACCAAAAAGAGCTCCTAAAGCCAGTATTTTTTGAAAGTTAGAAACAAATTACTGCCATCCTTCATCTCCCTTAAACACACATGGGTGTACACACTCTCCACAGCTGTTGTCAATTTATTTTTCCTGTCTTTTACTGCAATTGCCTTATGGATAAAAAATGATTTCAGAGTATCTAATCTAATAGACTTTAAAATAAAGTTCTTTCTCTATAAAAGAAAGGGAAAGGGAATAGTTCATTTCTCTCCTTCTACAATTTGTTTTCTTTTGCTTTAGTGTGTTTCTTCTACTCCTCCTGGCTGTTACATACATGTTCAGGAAAAGAATAAAGGTGTTTGGTTGGTTTGATTTGTTTTCACAGCTGAGCAGGGGTGTACACTGTACTTCAAAACAAAATAAGTTCAAAAGAATACAGTGAAGACCAATAATAAATCCAGGTAAGTGATGCCTTGTGGTCCCTACTCCAGATTTGCGGTCAGGGTAAAGAAACCCAAATTGGTCATAAGTTTCCAGAAAACGCAAGCGCCAAATCTCTGTTACTCCGTCCTCCAGTTTCAACCCAGCCTGGCCTGACCTTCTGATAAGCTGAAGAGGAATGTGCAAGGGTGGAGGTCCGCTGAGAGACAGTTCTAGGCATTCATTTACATACTCTACTCACCCCCTCTCCTCACCCATCCCAATCTCAAGCCGGTAGCAACAAGCTGGAGTTCTGTGGAAGTGCAGTCTAACTCCCTAGAGCTTCTCTGAAGAGAACTGTCCCTGGGATGCTATAAAAAGTAGGCTACTTCAGTCCAATTTAGGAGAGCCAAGGAAATGTCTGGTTAACAAATGTGCTGCCTGATTGAGCACACTTTTGCCTTCCCACTCATTCATACAGATTGCCTAACCATTCTTGATCCCAGCTAGTCCTTACCATTGTCCACCTACTCATGCATTACATTTTATGTCCTTCTAATCACATCCCTTAGCACTAAAATTTCTGCCCTCCCAGAAGAGTACTATTGAGACAGAATAATCATACTTTGTATATTTTGTATTTCTTGCTTGGTCTAATTGATTTGAACCTGATGTTTACCAGAAGTTGTAGGTATAATCCCTATACCGTTATTGGCTACAGAGTCCCTCCCTATATCTAGAGACCATCCTACACACAAAACTTAGGGCACAGGGAAGACAGAAATACTACCACCCCATTTTGCCTCTTGCCTCCTTCCTAGACCACCATGACAATATGCTTACTCTCCTCACCAAACCAGTAATATGAAAGTCATTTGTGAAACTAACTTGTGCTCACAGACCTATAGCAGTGACTGATCTATATCACTGTCAACCTACTTCATCTTACCTGCATAATGACTGAATTTCTGTTAATAATAAAATACAGATGGGACCTTTTCCCCTGTGGCTTTCCCACGCCCTTCAACTCACTGGTATAGGCTAGCTTTGCTTAGTACATCTTCACCAATAGTAGGACACATTTATAATTTCAACCAGTAGTCTAGGCTTTGAGAATATAGAGCTATAAGCTCCTATGTGTACATGCACGTGCTTTGCAGGTAAATTAAGATCTCAAACGATTAACTTCTGTTAGAATACATGTAGCCCACCAACCTCTGAGCTATTGTTCTCAAATAATAATAGCATATAAAATCTCTCAATGAATAACAGATATGAAGATTTTATTTTATTACTTCTGGAAGCCTATTAATATGAATGCATTTTATTCAATTATCACTTCTGAAAACATACTTACAGAGCTAAGTAGTCATCTTGTAATGCCAACACATTTTCACGAATTATAGTTGAATAAATATTCCATATTAAATTAAGTCTCTTTAATAGGTACCTCTATAAACAATAAAGAAAATACACTGTTAGTTCTGGCTTGCAAACACTGAATTTTCACTGTGTTTCTATTTATTTATCTGAAAAGACATTGATAGACAAGTGGCAGATATTTCTTCAGAAATTACCTTTATCTGTTACTAAATATATAACTGGTTTATTTTTTAACCTCTTTCGGTTTAGTTCCATTTTTCATAAAATGTGGTTTACCATAATACCAATGTTACAGTGTATTATGAGGATTAAATAATATAATATATTGCAAGCACATTGCCTGGCACAAAGCAAGAACTCAAAAAATATTGGCTATAATGATCATTTAACATCATCCCATACATTTCCAGTTATGTTCAAAATAGAGAAGAAATGTAAAAATATAAAATAGCCTTTCTACCATAAAACATCCATGCTAAGTATACATTCCTCAAAAAAAAAGAACTGGTTTATGTCCTGGACACACTGAAGCCCTAATTTTGAAATAAATATAAGCTATTAGCTGGTAAATATAAAATTATAAAAGTTAGACATTTACTAATACATCCCTAAGAATTAACTAGCTGCTGTTCATTGAAATTCTTTGAAAACAAATATTAGTTTTACTTCTTTACCCAGAACAAGTCATCAGATGTTATCAACGAGCCTCCTCAATCCCACCAAAATTTTAGTGCCTTCTTTTATTAATCACCATCCCAAGCTCAGCTTAATTCCCATTGGTACTTCGGCCACTAGGAAAAAGAAAGTCTGGGGCCGTTAGACGTATTTGTGATCTCACCCTCTGAATGGTCCAGAAATTCACTTGAAATCATTACCTAACATACTTTTTGGTTTGTGTGACCCCTAACTCCCCAAAGAGGGCTACCTAACTTTCGCTTTGATTTTACCTTTGCTATTTTTTCCTATAATTACTGTTTAAGATCTAAAAATGGAAATTTTTTTTTCATTTATTATGGCATGTCATTTCTCTGTTCAGTAATTCTAATTTCTCTCTTTCTTTTCCTAATATCAAAAGCATCTTCAAATTTTTACATTTTCTGGAATATATCTCTCTGGATTTAAGTGCTGTTCCTATGAGTCAGAATATTGAAATTATAAACACAGAGTTGTTACATTTCATTCTGGCTGCCTAACAATCTCTTAGGAAAATAGTTGCTAATAAATACTATCCTTTTCCCTAAAAAAAAAAAAACAGGCATACCATTTCCATCCACTTCTGGTTTCTTAGGACATACTGTCACTTCACCAAGAATGAAGTACCCTTCCAAACCTCACTCATCTCCTAGACCAGGTCTATGACTAAGGTATTTTCTTCTAAGATCAATCAGCCCTTGTTAAGGAAATGTATATACTTCCATATATATATATATATATATATGGAACTAAGACTATTACTTTGGAAAAGACCTGTCTCACAGATGCTGGCTAAAATATGAAAAGAAGAAGAGAGGATTTATTTAAAAACTACATAAGAAAGAATGAAATTACCTTTAATAATGAGTATATATCATAGATGTTCACCTCAGAAACAAGATCCCTGGTTACCAAGTTTACCAAGACTGTATGCCATACTATAATTTCATCTTCTTCAGCAAGGTACTTGGTTAACTCAAGTGCTGTTTCAATCTCAATATAATTGTTTCTGTTTGATTTAAAAACACACACACTCAAAAAACCTTCACTTGCTAAGTAATTTGCATACGTTCGATATTTGTTCCATGTTTCAATGCATGACTTCAATAAGGCATGTGAATAAGTCAAGAAACGAGAAGGTAAATGTCCCATCTTATAGAAAGGATGAAACCCAAGCAAAGTTGACAGTCCTTCCATTTCAATTTGGTACTTTCAAGTGTCCAAAGTCTTGAAGGCTAGAGAAAATTCAGGCCAAATGTTGGACTGATTATTAGGAAATAGAAGAGTTATGCATTCTGTATGCATTCTTATGACAGCATAATTTGCATTCAACAAATATTAATTAGAAGTCATTCTCTATCTAATGCTCTGACAGCTACTGATGTGCACACCAACTACAGGCATACCTCAGAGATATTGTGGATTCTGTTCCAGACCACAATAAAGCTAATATCATAATAAAGCAAGTCATACAATTTTTTTGATTTTCCAGTGCATATAAAAGTTATGTTTACACTATACTGTAGCCTATTAAGTAGCAATGGCATTATGTCTAAGAAAAACAGTATGCACACCTTAATTTAAAAGTAGCTTATTGTCAACGAATGCTAACAACAATCTGAGCCTTCAGCAAGTCATAACCTTGGCTGCTAACTGATCAGGGTGGTGGTTGCTGAAGCTGAGGTGGCTATGGCAATTGCTTAAAATAAGCAACAATAAAGTTTGCCAAATTGCTCAATTTCCTTTCACAAAAGATTTTTCTGTAGTATGCGATGCTGTTTAATAGCATTTTACCCACAGCAAAACTTCTTTCAAAATTGGAGTCAATCCCCTCACACATCCTGCTTGCTGTTTTGACAACTAAGTATACGTAATATTCTCAATCCTTTGTTGTCATTTCAGCAATGGTCATAGCTTCTTCACCAGGATTAGATTCTTTCTCAAGAATCCACTTTCCTTGCTCATCCATAAGAAGCAACTTCTCATCCATTCTAGTTTGATCATGAGATTGCAGCAATTCAGTCGCATCTTCAGGCTTCACTTCTAATTCTAGTTCTATCACTATTTCCACTGTATCTGAAGTGACTTCCTCTACTGAAATCTTAACCCCTTAAAGTCACCAATGAGGATTGAAAACTTCTTCAAAACTCCTGTTTATATTGATTTTTTTTACCTCCTTTCATGCATTGCAAATGTTCGTAATGGCATTTGGAATGATGAATCCCTACCAGAAGATTTTCAATTTACTTTGGCCAGATTCATCAGAAGGATCATTATCTATGGAAGCTATAGCCTTACAAAATGTATTTCTTAAATAATAAGAGTTAAAAGCAGAAATTACTCCTTGATCCCTGGGCTGAAGAATTGATATTGTGTTAGTGGGCATGAAAACAACATTAATCTCCTTGTACATCTCCATCATAGTGCTTGTGTAACCAAGTGCATCATCAATGAGCAGTAATATTTTGGAAGGAATCTTTTTTTTTCCTGAGCAGTAGATCTAAGCAATGGGCTTAAAATATTCAGCAAACCATACTGTAAACAGATGTGCTGTCATCCAGGCTTTGTTTTTCCACTTACAGAGCACAAGCAGAGTTGATTTAGCATAATGTTTAAGGACCCTAGGATTTACAGAATGGTAAATGAGCATTGGCTTCAACTTAAAGCTACCAGCTGCATTAGCCCCTAACAAGAGAGTCAGCCTGTCCTTTGAAACTTTGAAGCCAGGCATTGACTTGTCCTCTCTAGCTATAAAAGGCCTAGAGGGCATCTTCTTCCAATATAAGACTGTTTCATATGGAAAAACCTGTTGTTTGGTGCAGCCATTTTAACAATTATCTTAGCTAGATCTTCTGGATAACTTACTATAACTTCTACATCAACATTTGCTGTTTCACCTTGTACTTTGTTATGGAGATGGCTTCTTTCCTTAATCTGCATGAACTAACCTCTGCTAGCTTTAAACTAGCACCTTTTCCTGCACCTTCCTCACCTCTCTTAGCCTGAATAGAATTGAAGAGAGTTAGGACCTTGCTCTGGATTAGGCTTTGGTTTAAGGGAATATTGTGGCTGGTTTGATCTTTTATCCTAATCAATGAAACTTTCTCCATATCAGCAATAAGGCTGTTTCACTTTTTTTTTTTTAATCATTCATGTATTCACTGGAGCAGTACTTTTTAATTTCCTTCAAGAACTTATCCTTTGCATCTACAATTTGGCCATGTGGAGCAAGAGTCCTAGTTTCGGCCTATCTCAATTTCAACATGCCTTCCTCACTAAACTTAATCATTTCTAGCTTTTGATTTAAAGTGAAAGATTCAGGACTCCCCCTTTCACTTGAACCCCTAAAGGCCATTGTAGGGTTATTAATTGGCCTAATTTTATTTATTTATTATTATTATTTTTTTAGACGGAGTCTCGCTCTGTCACCCAGGCTGGAGTGCAGCGGCATGATCTCTGCTCACTGCAAGCTCTGCTTCCTGGGTTCATGCCATTCTCCTGCCTCAGCCTCCCGAGTAGCTGGGATTACAGGTGCCCACCACCACACCTGGCTGATTTTTTTTGTATTTTTAGTAGAGATGGGGTTTGCACTGTGTTAGCCAGGATGGTCTTGATCTCCTGATCTCGTGATCCACCCGCCTCGGCCTCCCAAAGTGCTGGGATTACAGGCATGAGCCACCACACCCGGCCCTAATTTCAATAGTACTGATTCTCAGGGAATGGAAACGCCAAAGAAGAGGGAGAGAGATGGAGGAATGGCTGGCCAGTGCAGCAGTCAGAACACACACAATTATTAAGTTTGCTGCCTTATACAGGCATGATTCATTGCACCCCAAAACAATTACAGTCATAACATCATCAATTCCTGTTCACAGATTACTGTAACAGATATAACAATCATGAAAAAGTTTGAAATTTTGTAAGA
This sequence comes from Homo sapiens, assembly GCF_000001405.40. Classification (NCBI taxonomy): domain Eukaryota; kingdom Metazoa; phylum Chordata; class Mammalia; order Primates; family Hominidae; genus Homo; species Homo sapiens. The sequence goes on along the minus strand of NC_000005.10, from coordinate 116,007,824 downwards.
ATTACCAAAATGTGACCCAGAGACATAACATGAGCACATGCTGCTGGAAAATGATGCTGATAGACTTGCTTGACTCAGAGTTATCACAAATCTTCAATTTGTAACAAATGCAATATCTGTGAAGTCTTAAAGCAAAGTACAATAAAACGAGGTATGCCTGTAGTACATATGACACTGCACTTGCCTACCATTGAGGAGCTTCAATGAAGAGATGAGACTTATGCATAAGAAACCAGTAATGAAAGGTCCCAAAGGCAGTGAATACTACAAAGTAGCAAAGAAGGAAAATATGCACATATAAAAGTCAGGGATAAGATAGAAAAGTCAAGGAAGGCTTCATGGAGGAGAAACTTGAGAAGAGCAGTGAAGGATGCATAGGATTAAAATAGGTAGAAAAAGAGGAAGGCAGTCCAGGACAAATAAGATAAGGTGGGAATTAGTGTGATGGGCCGATGAAGCTAACTGAGGCAGGGGATTTCCTTTTTGTATAGTGAGAAATGGGGCCTAATAGGTAAGTTGGCTCAAACCTGTGAAGATCCTTGAATGTCAGGATGAAGAGTTTAGATTAGGTGGAAAGGTACTCTGGGTATTTAAACAATTGGAATAGCATAATGAAATTGATGTCTAACAATTTTATTGCAATAGTGTTAAAGAAGACAGAATGAAATTCAAAAGGACCGAAGGCTGGAGGCTAATTTAATAGGCCAGGCAAGAGATGATGAAAGCTTGGCTTAGTGTGGGAGCAGTGAAAGTGGTAAAGTGAGCCTCCAAAAGACATTTCTAAGAATGAAGAGATAGGACTTGGTGACTGTGCATGTAAGATGAAGCAAAGAGAGGAATCAAGGATATCTCTGAGGTTTCAAGTTTGGGTGATGAAAAGAAGAGTAACTTTGACATGCAGGGAAAAATTGATAGCAAGAGCAAGGTGGAGACAAAAATGAAGTTCAGTGTTTAAGGCACTGTATTTGTATGACCACAGGATAAACCTAAGACAGGGGGAAAGATAAGTAGCAATGTAGATTTGGAAGTCATCAACATGTCCTTCCGCAAACATTTACTGAGGACCTTACATCTGCTGGCACTCTACAGATACGTAATAAAATGGTCACCAAAACCCTAGAGTGAATGAGTTATCAAAGAAAAGATAGAAGAAAGTAATGTAACCATGATTGGTCCTAAGAAGCTCACAGCAGTAGAAGAGGAGTCAGATACATGAGGAGAACCAGGTTTGCATATCAGAGTCTCAGGAAGCCAAAATGACATTTTCAGGTGGATGTAGTCAATAATAGCAAAGTCATGGTGATCTTAGAGACAGAGAGAGGAATTTCAGCCAAGTATTAGACAAGGAAATGTACTGTAAGTCACAGAGGGAAAAAGGAGGAAAGAAGGATAAAATAAGTAGACATTTATTCAAACAATACGGCTGGCTAAAGAAAGAGAAAAAATACTAGATAATGTATTACATATATTCCTTAATTTTATTGCCTGAAAATTTAAATTCTGAACATTTATTAATTTACCTGGTTAAACACTTAGCAGCATATCTTACACTGAGTAAATCTAATATAAATAAAATAAATAATTCTGCAATATATTAAAATACAGGCAAGATTGCATTAAAATTATAGCCATCACCCTTGGAAAACAGAAATCACTGCCACATCTTAGTTGGTAGTCTTTTTATTTCCAGCAACTCATTATATTATAAAATTCCATTGCAGCTACAGAATTTCATCCTAATCTTAATCAGTTATGGCCTGTATAGACTAAATAATCAAATTCATAGTGATGAAGCTATTATTTTTATAAAGGTCTCAAGGTATATTCTGAAACCATGAGAGAAGAAAATATACTCACTTAGACAAGGAAAAGGCATCATCAATCAACTGCAGTCTGTGAATAACAGGAATCGCCTGCAGAATTAGACCCAAATATGCCCAGAAGAAGATGAGAACATTTTTCCGCAAAGTTTTCAAAATAACAACAATTTAAAGATTACTGCTGCCTATAAAGCACCTTCACGTGACTTATCTCATCTGCAGAGAAACAACAATTACTGAGGACAGTCCCCATAATTTATTTATCATACATATGTTTTTGAAATAAATGAACCCTCTGGACATCAATCATAAGGTTTAAATATGGCAGAAAGTTTTGCCAAAATACTCCTGAAACATACCATGTTAAAAAATAAAACAGGCAACCAAATTTAAAAGGCCTCCCCAAAACAAGTATACATCAAGTTGTATTACAACATCCAAATTATTTTCAGGGATGTTTTTGGCATAGAAGCCCTTAAATAAATATTATTTAGCGCTATTTTGGTAACATTGAGGTACCATATTTTTTCACACGGTATTTATCTTAAGATTTTACTAACGTGACAGAATGCCACCAACAGATCCCTTTACATCCATGGAATGGCAGGGGCCAATTGCCAGTGTGATTCTTTAGACTTCTGTTTGAACTCCCTGGCATTGCCAGGCCACAGGATTCTGCTGTCAGCTCAGTCCCTAAGGGGGCCCAAGGCCTCCTACATCATACCTTCAGCACCTCTCAGCACTGTGATATGTTTGGTTCAAAAACTTTATCTTCACAGCATTTCTTTAAGGGTCCGAGCAAGTCAAGTTTAATTCTTCAGTTGGTATAGTTTAATTTCTTTTCTGGCAGTACTAACACATTTTCTAGATTAATATTAATCATAAAGATTCTCTTTTATTTGCTCACCAATTATGTCGTAGAAATAATTTGCCTCTGTTTTTCAATAAGTAAATCTACAATGGTTTCAATAAATCATTACTATAATGACATAACCTCGTGCTTTCATGGCTTAGAATGCCCTTAGAAATGTAATAAGAATTTAGACACTCTGAAAATATTTGAAAAGAAAATATTATTGTAAGTGGCCTTTGTAGTTTTATTCAAAATCCCATTAATTTGTTTTAATTACTGAACATGTTATGAATCCCTGAATTGTGTCAGGCCTCTGTTAAACATAATACATATATCAACTTATTTAATCTTCACGATAACCCTTTAAGTTTGGTATATTACCCCCATTATTACACAAATAAGAAATTGAGGTACAACCAGGATGCCTTCTCTAGACTTTTAATGGTTGATCTTTCTGTTAGGAAGAGACTCCACCTCCATTCCCACCACTCACCTCCAGGAATACTGAAGGGAGTTTTTTGGGGGTTTTTTTTCCCCATATTCTTAGAAAGGGGAGATTTGGCTCGAATGTGCCATACATCTGGCAAACAATGAACAAAACAGGAACACAAGTCTTCCTGATCCAGAACCTAAGCTCTAAACCAATATGCTAGAGAGATTGCTGTGTGCCTCAGAGAACTTTCAAACACAGAGACACTTAACAGAGAGACATCTTTTAGTTCAGCACTCCAGTTTTGTAAATGGAGTCTAAATGAACCACCCACGGGCTCACAGCAAGTCACAGCAGAGCCAACTGTACTGACTCCTAAGCTGGCGTCCAGCTCCACTCATGGAAATTTAGTTTAATCCAGTTAAAATCTGATTGATTAGAGCTGGCCAACATTTTAGTGTTTATACACTGCATAGTTACTTATAGTTATTTTATAATATAAAGTGATATTGGACTATTGATGTTTTGTGAATTAACTTCTCTCTTCTGAAGGAGAGTGGAAATATGTTTTTAGAAGTAAAATTAGTATTTTCTAGCATTTACTGATTACCTATTATGAGTTTAGAAATTTTAAGTATACTTTCACTTACATGATCTCTAATCCTCATGATGAATAAAATATAATAATATTCTCGTTTTAAAATGAAGAAATGGAACCAGGACATTTAAGTAACTTGCCAAAGCTCACAAAACTAATGGTTAATAGGAAAATGCATCCTGATTCTTACCTGGAAAGGTTGTTTTGGAAAAGCAAAATGAATGTTCAAAAACACAACACATTTGGCCGGCGCGGTGGCTCACGCCTGTAATCCCAGCACTTTGAGAGGCCGAGGCAGGTGGATCACCAGGTCAGGAGATTGAGATCATCCTGGCTAACACGGTGAAACCCCGTCTCTACTAAAAATACAAAAAATTAGCCGGGCGTGGTGGCAGGCGCCTGTAGTCCCAGCTACTCCGGAGGCTGAGGCAGGAGAATGGCGTGAACCCGGGAGGCGGAGCTTGCAGTGAGCCGAGATCGCGTCACTGCACTCCAGCCTGGGCGACAGAGCAAGACTCCGTCTCAAAAAAAAAAAACAAAAAAAACAAAAAAAAACCACACAGACAACACATTTAATCAAAATCTCCACTTGTTAAGAATAAGAAAAAAAAATCTTTTGCATGCCTGGAGGTGAGGGGCGGGAATGAAGGTGGAATCTCTTCCCACCAGAATGTTCAACTTCTAAAACACTAGAGAAGGCATTATAAATTATATTTAATTAAAAGTATCAAAAGTAACCTTACCTTAGGATCCTTTTCAAGTTGTTGATTTAGTTTCTTCCAACCTAATTTATCATAATTAACTCTATAATATCCAGTCATATTCAAATTCAAAATCACCCAGTCATGGTCAGAATCTGAAACTTGCATTTCTGGGAATACTTCTATAAAGGAATATGGGAATAATTTGAAATGGTACATTTAAAAAAGATCTTAATACCTATTAATACTACACACTCGATTCTAAACAATAAACCAACAAAACAAAAAATTAAAGGAATTCTAAAATATATATTGCTCTTACCAGGTAATTATATATTTTTCACATATAATGGCTTTTGATTTGACACTTTTCTTTAAAACTCTATGCTCTACAAGAATGATATTTTAGTTTGAAATGAAATGGCTTTTCAAAAGCTAGACTTTTCAATATTTTATTCCCTGCCTTTACATATGCATATATATAAAGATGTTTTTAAAATTTGTTACTTACTGCTGCTTTGATCTAGCCAGACTAAAGGTTGTGTAGTTCCATTTTTTATCCAAAGAATAGGGACAATCCATGTGTCACTTATTGGAAGAAAATAAAAAAATTAGTTACTTTTCACACATAAAAACATACACTCTGAGCCACTATTAAAGAGATGATGAAATAGCACACAGAACTCAGTTTCTTTGGTCATTCTCTCTAGATATGCAGGCCTTTGCTCTTAGGATTACTCACCACTGTTTTTACAAGCCAGTTTTACTTTGGCTATTGTTTACTCCTCTCTCCTGTTGTGTCTTACGGATTTACTTCCTTTTATAACTTAGGTAGCTACTAAACTCTTGTGTCTGAAATCTTCAAGGCGTGTGTATGTTAAATTATAGACACCTGGCTTCACTCAAGGGTAGTTCAAATGCTGCAAACAGACCTAAATCCGTCCATGCCCAGAGAGGTGAAAAGTAGTTTAGAAGGAAAAGCTTGACAATCACTTCAAAATACTTTCAGCCTCAAGCATTCTCCCCATCTGAAAACTATTCAACAGGAATCAGCCATGACATTCATTTATTCAATGTCTGCATTCTTCCCACATTGCTGGACGCTACCTGGATGAAGTAGCTGATCACAGGAAGCACATTCGTCATCGCAAGAGACACACTACTCAGAGTTTGGGCAATATTTCCAATCTTGTTAAGTTCCCACAAGCCTGGTGTCTTGAAGACTGTCAACTGTGGGTCTGTGTTTATCTGCATAGCTAAGACACACAGGTCTTCTCAAAAACCACAGAGTAGTACAGGGAGAAGGAAACTTTGAGCGTCCCATTTCTCTTTCCTGAGGCTTTAAAGAAAGAGTAGAACTATCTGAAAATTTTGGTGATTGTATTTGAAAATTAATTACTCATTTGTGCTGATACTGCAATGAAATGTGAAGATTAAAACTATCAAAAACAGTTGAAAATCAGCTAATAGATTAAGAAAGGGAAGAGAAGAAGAAAGGGATAAAGGCTAGGCTATTTTATACTCATTTCACTTTTACACAATCTATTGGGATACATGCTATTGCATGTATTTTATAGATAAGGCAACTGAAACTCACAGAGCTTAAATAATACCTAAGGTTTGAATTTTTGAGAAGTCAATATTTGAACCCAGGTCTAACTGAATCTAAAGGCCTTAATTCTAATGTTGTGGGTATGGCTACAAATACACAAACGCACGCATCCACACACATCCGTGCACACCCCTGCACAGAACTATTCCTCAAGGAAATAGTTACCATTCAGTTTCATTTCTAAGGAAGAGAAGACCACTCTGCAGTAAGACTTCCTTTCCTCTTTACTAATATATGGCAATCTATGGCTCTGTCTTACTGCCCCTCACTCAGAATCCCAAGTAATTCATTACCTCTGTCTGAGGGATGAAGAGGAACACACAATAGCCCACAGCTTGGGTCGCTGATGTAACCCTAAATCCCAGGGTAGGGGCACTGTGTCTTGAATCCCTAACTGCGGGTCTCTGGCGTTGCCCGGACACAAGGGCTCTGCTTCACCCTAGTACACAGTCACATTGCAGAAGTGTGTATGCCCAGCGGGGGTAACGCTTCTTCACCCACAGGCTGGATTCCATTGGGTCAGAGCTCAACCCCAAGGAAGGTGAAGACAAAGAGGAGCAAAGCTACCTACTTGCTGGTTAGAAGAGTCCGATTTTTAATGTTTTCAAGATAAAATGGCTCCTGTTTCATGACGCCAGTAGACACATTTAAAGTGATCACTGGAAAACCACTCTGGTGTGTCCAACTGTCCATTATGTTTTTTATTGTTGCTGGCAAAATAACTGTACTCTGGTCATCTATGGCCTGTTTTAAAAAATCACCACAAAGGCAGGTAAGGTTATCCGTGAAACATTTTGAAGTAGCAATCTCCAAAAAGAAACTCGGTAGCTATTCTCTTCCTCACTTATGTAGTAGTCCTGCAGTGGGTGATCCTCTGGGGCAAATTTAGAACTCTGTTTATATATGAATGGTTCTTTAATTCATTAATTCAATAAATATGAACACATATTTATTGATCTAACATATTCCATGCTCTGTTCTGGGCACTGGGAATATAGTGAAGACTAAAGACACTACCCATGACCTAAGGGAGTTCTACAACAAGACAAAGCTGTTTTCCTGTGGAACTGCCATTCACCCATGGCCTCCCAGTCTTTTCCTGTATCATACAAAACAACTCAGCAAGAATGTGTCAGAAAGTAGGACAATTACCATTTGAAAATGCCTCCATAGATCATCTTGCTCAGCGTTTGAGTAGGAAAATGTCTTCAAATATGACTGTAAAAATAGAAAAGTTAAGGTTAAAATAAATAGCATGCCAATGGAATTTATGTTTACTGCCATCCAGGTAACGACTATTTTGCAAACTCACCTTGAGTGCACTGACAAATAAATGCTCATTCAAGAAACAAGAAAGCATCCGGGCCATAGACGCTCCCTAGGACAAAAGAAGCTGTCCATTATTTGAACAAAATTCAATATCCACATACTGACACATTCCATATTTATAAGCAATATTCTGAGCTGTGCTCCTGATTGCATTTTGCATTTTAGTTGAATGTTTGAATTATTTTGGAATGTGCTAACAAAATAGTAGGCTGTCACTAATTCAGAGGTAAAAGGTAAGCAGATGTCCTACATGTAAAGAGTACAGAGTACATAAAATTTTTAAAAATTGAGATCTTTACATAGCAAGAATAAATTTCCACCAAGCAAAAGGGTTCACCTTAAAAGTAGCAAGTTGTTAAAGTCTATGGTTGATGGACCCAAGCATTAATATTGGCTTGATGGATATTTGCAAGGTGAGAATTAATTTAATCATGTTTTCTGATACCTATGTATTGAATTAAAATAAGGTTATTTTCATAAAATGTTTTAAGTTGTATGATGATATAGGACCCTTAGAATCCATTTTATGCAACTTTCTACCAGAGTACAAAACCAAAGGAAATTTCTAACTGCTTTTACCTTGCTGTAAGTAAATATGTCAAAGAGTTCCTGTATTTCACTTGTTTTGAAATTTTCCACCTTCATGGCCACAGCTCTAGTCACCAGGGCGTGATCTTCTCTGAGGATATTATGTAAAATGTTAGAAAAAAAGATCTCATTCTATAAAGGAAAAGATGGAGGCACATTAACTCCTGAGGTGTCACAGAAGACCAAAATTCTATGGCCCTAAAATACTTTCAAAAACTGATATTGAAGAGGGAGAAAATTCAGTAATTGAGAAGTGTCTTTGAGTTGAAATATGCCAAATAAAGTCAGGATTCCTTGAATAACAAAACTATAAGATAGTTTCCTTCCCATTTGTATCCTTTTTCATTTCAGTTTTTAAAAAGTCAATTACAAAGTTAATGTGGTTTCCAAAAGCCACCTACATTTCCCACAAGGAGGTCCATGGCCATCCTGAGAGGGCCTTCCTTAAGGTGGTTTTAATTATCTAAAATTTCATCAGTAATTTTATCAATAACTCCTTAAAATTAATCAGTCTCTCTTTCATGAATATTTACAAACCAAAAGCATGCCAGATCTACAAACTCACAAAGATGCTGATGTAATAATTTAAAATTGAAAATAAATCCATAAAATGGATATTACAGTTTATGGCTCATGCATTAAGATAAGGCAATTTATTATATTTTAATAAAAACCATAGGACTCTTTAAAAGACTAGCTCTCTCTCAGACACATGATAAGGGCAATTTCTCCCTGAAGTAAAGCTAGAAGAAAAATCAGTTTATAGCCAGAGAGTCTTGTGATGAAGAGCTAGAGCAAAGACCAGTGGAGAAGTTATACCGGCACACGTTCGCAGCCTGGAGAGCCAGGTGAACCCCTCATGATCCACGGGAACCCTCAAGTCCCTACTGACTATCTTTGGGATCTGCAAGTTGACTCTCTCACCCTTTGACAGCGTCAGATTTTCAAAATCTGTTTCACTTCCATTTGCCAATGTTCTCATCAATCCCTTTCTATTAGCACATTATTTTTAGGCTAGTAATACCATTGATTAGGCCATTATCAAACTCTGCTTTTCCGGAAATGAGAAAGCCTATCATTTAGAGCAATACATCTCAAATTTTAACATGAAGAAGGATCACCAGGGGATTTTGTCAAAATCATGTTCTGATTCAGTTGGTTTGGGTTGGAGCCTGTATTTCTAATAAACTACCCAATGATGCTGATGCTGCTAGTTTAAGAATCACACCGAGTAGCAAGGATTTGGAGGAGTCATCTGCATAGGTCTGATCCTACTCAGTAAGCATGGATTTTATTAGCTCAACACTCAAGGCTTCTTGAGAGTGTCTCACTGGTGACCTATAAGCACAATGTAGAAAATAGAGAAAATAAAATCACCCATAATATCGCACCCTAAGGTCGCCACCATTAAAATGTTAGTGTAGTTCTTTTTCATCCTTTTTCCTATGTACTATTTATTCCCATAGTTGTAAAAACTTTTTATCTTGCTCATTTACTTGTTATAGCATTTTACAATTTTGCTACCTCATCTTTATAATTATCCCTTATAATGGCTGCTGCATTATAAAGAAAACAGAAACATAAATTGAAAGAAAATAAACCAAAATTTAATAGTGATTATCTCAGGGTAATCAAACCACAGATGATTTTCTTCTTTTCAAAGTACAGCAGATAAAACTTTTGCAAAAGAAAAACCTTAAAATATATAAATACATAGCTGCATAATAACCCATCAGGTCAATGGCCCATAATTGATTTAATCATTTCCCTTTTATTAGCTAGACATTTAAGTTACTTTCAGCTTTTTGCTGTTTTAACCAGTTTTAATGAACGTTTTTGCACATATTGCTACTCCACATTTTGTGAGTCTCCCCTAACCCTATCAGAACAGATTGTCTTTCTTTCTTCTGCCTGCCTGGTATAAGGTTTTATGTAATCTTCGTGATATCACTATAACCATACAAGGTAATTGATGAATGAGGCAAACACCTCTTCCTCAACACCCTAGAGGTCTTTCTATTCTGGGCCTCCCATAAAGTGATGCTGTCTGTAGCCTGTTTCAGTTCTATTGCAGGGAAACACTACATAAAACATGATGTCAGCTTTAAAAAAAACTATCTAGCTACTGCATATAGTGATTAGATAATATGAATCTGTATATTCACCATTACTTTGTCCCACAAGCTGCAATATGTCAGAGAAGGCCTATTAAAATTTCTTCCTTTTTTTTTTTGGAGAGTCTCACTCAGTTGCCCAGGCTGGAGTGCACTGGTGTGGTCATAGCTCGCCGCAGCTTCAATTTCCTAGGCTCTATCAATCCTCTCACTGCAGCCTCCTGAGTAGCTAGGACTACAAGGGTGCAGCACCATGCCCTGCTAATTAAAAAAATTTTAGTAGAGACGAGATTTCACTATGTTGCCCAGGCTGGTCTTAAACTCCTGAGCTTAAGAGATTCTCCCACCTTGGCCTCCCAAAGTGTTGGGATCACAGGCATGAGCCACCACACATAGCATAAAATCTACTCTTATCCTTAGAAATATAACATTATTTATTGTAATAAATTGGTATAGAATATCATGATGATTAAAAACGCAGGATTTGGAGTTAAAGTGCCTGTGTACGAATCCTTCCTCGGCCCTTTAGGAGTTATGTGACTCATCAAAGACCACCAACTTTATCTCTCTGAAACTCAGTTGCCGTCCGAAAATGGGTAAAACAACAATGTCCTCAATGGATTATTATGAGTACTAAATTAATTTTCATGATGTTCCAAGCACAACGGATAGCAAATAGGACATGCTCAATAAGGGTTAACCACTGCGGTGATTACTTATCATTATTTTTATTATTATCCTTCAGAATTGCCCTGAGGATTGAATGAGATAATATAAATAATTCTATTTAAGTACATAAAACTAGTGCCTAGTTAGTGGTAGTTGTCTCAACAGTACCTAGCAGATGCAATTATCATCTGTTGAATGACTGCAAGAACCCATTTTACAAATGAGGAACTAAAGCTCAGAGGTGTTCATCTGCCTGCCTCAGCTTACCATCATAGTAAAGGCAGAGCAACATATGATGGCTGCAGTGCCCATATGTACCTTTTCCCTTCACCAAGACTGCTGCTTTCTTAGATCAGGCAGCAGGAAGGTGGAGGAAAGTCAGTGAGTGGCAATGTCAGGGCCAGAGCTTCAGAGTTCCAGAAAGCCTTCGTCCCTAATGTTCTGACCCCTTGAGCATAATCCATTCATATCAGCTGAAATTAGACCTCGAAATAGAAAAAATTGTAAATCTGTTTCTGCATAAGGGTCTATGATTCTGTTACTCAATTTCAATCACATTACTAGATTAAAAGGAGGTTAAAGTTCTTGATCTCCAAAAATCATTGAAAGGAGAGCTTAAGCTTTTTAAAAACAAAGAACGTGGCAATGTCCTCAGTTGCCAAGATCTGATGCTTTCACTCAGCTCCACAAGCAACTAAGAGGTATAGAAAAGAGTGGCTAAGAAACTAATGATAAAAAGAAATAATTAAAAGGTACAAAAAGAGACTAACGTTGTAATCTTAGCTTCAAAAATATGAGGAATATGTTTTTGGCAAGTTTTGCAAGATATTGATAATAACCATTTTAGTTATTATAAGAGGTAACTGAAATTGATGCTCATGATGTATTCTATCTACTTAAGAAAATAGAGTAAATTTCATTGTCTTATGGGAATTAAACTTCTTCCCTTATTTACTCTATCCACAGAGTTAATTTAGGACATACCCAACTGCTTTCAAAAGAAGTTAAAGATGGCACTAACCATGAGTGAATAAAAGTTATGAAAGAGAGATACAAACAATTTTGTAGGCATAGAGTAAGTGGAAAGGACTGTTGGAGAGAGCTAAGACAATAAACACATACTGTATGCAGATAAAGACACACACACACACACACACACACACGATTAGCTTCTTGAGGATAAGAACACTCCAGTGTGTTTTTGCTATAGAGCACAGTGGTTAAAAGCATGGGCTTCGCAGTTGGCCTGACCTGGAATTGAATCTCACTTCTGACATTTAATAACTATGAGAGCTTGAGCAACTTACTTAATGCTTCTATACCTCAGTTTCCTCACATGTAAAATAGAAATAACAACAGCACTCATATGGTTGGTTTGAGGACTGAGTAAGATGATGTATGTGTAGTGCTCACACTGCCTGGCACTTAAGTTCTAAGTACTCACTGAATGGTAAATACAGTATTATTGTTGTTATCGTCATCCTTGTCATCAGACTAGACCCAGACAGCTGGTTATAAAATCAGGCCTGTCCCAGTTGGGCAAATTACCTTTGGCAAGTCATTTAACCTTTCAGTACTTCAGTCTCCTGATCTATATAATGACGTCCAAACTTTCCTCCAGGACAAGCAGGGCCTGTGTATAGTCCATGGGGAGGAAGAGAGAGGCACTGCGGAGTGACTGGGCTGGGGACCTTATAGCATGTCTGTAAAGGGCGGGGAGGTGGCATGGAACTCGGGTGTTAAAAGCGTGCACTACATCAGTGCTTGCCAGATGCTGTGATGTCACAAACAGATAAAAAGAGATTTTTTAAAAGGTTTCTGTGGCACTAAGATAGGCTTGTCAACTTTTTTTTCCTGCCAAACTATCGACCAAAACAAGTACCATCTACCTACCATCGATTATCAATTTTCATAAAAAAAGGAAAGCTTACTTCCAAAATAATAGGACGAATATCATCTTAGAATCTCCTTCAGAATGAATAGATTTAGCCTGTAAAGAAGATCCAGCAAGTAGAGATAGCATTTCAATATTAATAAATCCTTTGAATGAGTGAAGGTAGGGAGGAGAAAAGAGGTCAGTAATCCAGCCTTGGAACAACTGGGAGCTGAGATGAGACGGGGACCAGCAAAGAGAGGCAGGAAGGAGCAATCCTGAGGACCAGAGAGGTTACAGGAGACAGAAGAGAGGAGGGGAAGAAGATGCAAACCAAGAAAGAACCTCTGGTTTATAACAGAAGTAAGGTTTATATCAAAAGATAACATTAAGTCTAAACATTTAGATATCTAAATCAAATCAATTTGGTTTTATCATGGCATTCTAAAAGCACTACATAATTACTCTAAATAAATTAAATATCAGAAGTAAAACCTACAGTTGAAAGAATTAGATTTTCACATTGATGTATTTATCTTTCAATATTATTATTTACTCAAATTAGCAAAACAATATCAGCAATAATATTAATTAAATATGAAGTAGCATATTACTTATCATAAAAGTCACACACTGCTGTTACAGTTGCTTTAAAATACAGTCTAGGTTGGGCGCGGTAGCTCACGCCTGTAATCCCAGCACTTTGGGAGGCCGAGGCTGGTGGATCCCTTGAGTCCAGGAGTTTGAGACCAGTCTGGGCAACATGGCGAAACCCCGTCTCTACAAACAATACAAAAATGATCTAGGCATGGTGGCACATGCCTGTAGTCCCAGCTATTTGGAAGGCTGAGGTGGGAGGACTGCTTGAGCCCAGGAGGTCGAGACTGCATTGAGTCAAGATCATGCCACCACACTCCAGTTTGGGTGACAGAGCGAGACCATGTCTCCAGCCTAGGTGACAGAGCAAGACCTAGACTATATATATATAGTCTATATAGCAGGACTAAGAAATATATGTAGTAGGAATAAGTGAAAATAATCTTAGGCAGTCATTTAAAATCTTTTTTAAAAAGATCTAATGATTTGTAGAAATACTCAGGATTATGAAGTAGAAATATGAATATGTAGAAATATGAAGTTGAATATGAAGTAAAAAAAGCAATACAAAATTTTATGTAATTCCCACCTTCAAAAACATTTACAATAGATAAAAAGCCTGGAATTAAAAAAAAATATCAAAAAGCTAACACAAATTATTTTTGGTATTATAGGTAATTTATTATTTCTTGTATTTTCTTGTATTTTATACATTTTCAAGAATGAATATGCATTACTTTTATAATTAGGAGAAAAATGTTAAATAAACTTAGTAAACATACTTACTCTTGGGAGTTTAGGATTAAAGTAGTTAATTACTTCAAACTCAAAATAAGATGCAAAACCCTCGTTGAGCCAGATATTGTTCCACCAATTCATGGTAACCAAGTTTCCAAACCACTTTTGGAAATGAGAAGAAAAAAAGAGCTTTCTTAAATTTAATTTTTAAGTTATATTCGTTGTAATTGCATGTTAAGTAAATGTAAGGTCAAAAGACATAATTAAAATTTATTTGCCATCAATAACAAAACTTGAAGACAGGACACCAAAAAAGCAAGTTGTTGTTTTCACATAAATAGATATTAGTCATGCATTTCTCAGAAATATTCCATGTTCAATTATTAAAAGCAATTTTTGTTTTAAAACTGCAATGTTTAAACATAAGGTCAGCTAGAATAGCATTTCTTAAACTGTCCACTTGGCCCAAAAGTTGTTTTTAGTTCCATAAAACAGAAGCCCTGAATGCTGACTTGCCACCTACTAATTCTAGCACCTTATACTCTAAGTAGGCTGCAACTGGATTTTACTTTAAGCAGTTGTTTATATTTTAAGAAAATAATTTGATCTGTGCCATGTACAAATCACTCAAGTAATCATACGTTATGCAATATGGCTCAGCTGTTAATTATTTTCTGTTTGAACTGAACAGAAAAAAAAAAACAGTGTCAAATGGATGATGAACAGAATTAGGAAAGAAAAACAATGATTTCCAAACTAACAAACGCAAGCCCTGGTATTTCACCAAATTCTTATAACAGCTATAATTACTAATAGCCTGTATTGCAAAACAATGTGTAACTTAGGCTATAATAGAAAATGACACTTCGGGTGACTTAATAAAACTTGTGATTGTGTTTGTTTTACTGTGCACCAGGGTATTAATCAATCCTAGTAAACTGCTCTTTTCCAAAACTTCTTATGGAGCCACATTACGAAGATAACATCGTTGAAATTATTTCTTTCTTAACAGACTTGTATTAATGGTGCAGACACTGAAATGCAGATATGAAAATCTTCATCAAATTAAACAGCTAAACTTCTAAAATCCCAATGCAAAAGCAAATAGATCTGATTAAATGAATTGTCATTTACACAACCATTGGGAATGCAGCTCAAGGGTTAATTATTGCCACCTTGCTAATCTATTACCTGTATCCATTTAACCTCTCTCCAACAACAGCAACAACAACTAGAAATTTATAACAATCTGCTGATGAAATGTGGGTATCTTTCAGTGATCCTTTTGAATAGCCCTTATTTTAGGTGAAATGAAAATAAAATACTCCTGTGTCTGCATGGTTTAACTTTTCCTGAAGAGGACTTTGTGGAGCAAACTTAATTGTTAGATGTAAATACCCAGCCCTCAGCCAAACTGTACGGTCTCCTCCCTATGATCTGTCACCAGTAGCTCAAATCCACCCTGAATCTGAGTCTTCCCCATTTTTACTCACTGTCATACTTTGAGATGTTTTTCTTTTTAAAATATGGTATATGGCAGGGTCTTACTGGGGTTTTTATGCTATTTTGGTAGCGCACCTGGAGAATAACTTCAAGTGAAATAAAAAGAACATTTTACCACATGCCTGGTGTCCAATCTCGTGGGAGACAACATAGGAGATCAGAGTCTTTTTTTCTGTCAGTTGATCTTTTGGTTCCAACAACAATCCTGATTCATCAAATATCATTAGTCCCCAGTTTTCCATTGCATGGTTGTCAAAACTAGGCAAGGCAATTATATCTAAGTGGATTTAAATGGAGGAGAAAATAAAATAATCTTTTCCAAAAAATGGGATTTTTTAAATATCTCAAAATGAAATCATAAAATTACCAAAAAATTCAAGGGAATATTTATAACCTGAACGGAGAGAAGGCTTTTTAAAGACTAATGCCAAAGACAAAAGCCAGCAAATAAATTATTTTCACTATGTTAACATAAAATATTCTTGATAAAGGACTTGTATTCAAATACACAAAGAATGCTTACAACTTAGCAGTAAAGAAACAGACAACCCAACTACAAAATGGACAAAAGATCTGAACATACACCTCACTAAAGAAGATATATAAATGGCAAATACACATATGAAAAGATGCTCAACATCAATTGTCATTAGAGAATTTTAAATTAAAACAATGAGATATTACCACACACCTACTAGAATGGCTAAAATCCAAAATACTGGCAACACCAAATGCAGATGAGGATGTGGAGCAACAGGAACTCTCATTCATTGCTCGTGGGGATGCAAAATGGTACAGTCACTATAGGTTGACCATAAGATCTGACAATTACATTCCTTGGAATTAACCCAAATGACCAGAAATCTTATGCCCACCCAAAAACCTGCACACAAATGTTTATAGAAGCTTTATTCATAATTGCTAAAAGTTGGAAGCAACCAAGATGCCCTTAAATAGGCTAATAGATAAACAAACTGCAGTACATCAATACAACAGAGTATTATTCAGTGATGAGAAATGATGTATCATGCTAGGAAAAGTTATGGGAAATTTTAAGTGCATGTTGCTAAGTGAAAGAAGCTGGTCTGGGAAAGCTACATACTATGCAATTCCAACTATATGACATTCTGGAACAGGCAAAACTCTAAAGATA
The DNA here is from genome assembly GCF_000001405.40 of Homo sapiens. Taxonomy (NCBI): domain Eukaryota; kingdom Metazoa; phylum Chordata; class Mammalia; order Primates; family Hominidae; genus Homo; species Homo sapiens. The sequence goes on along the minus strand of NC_000005.10, from coordinate 115,991,246 downwards.
ATAAAAAGATTGGTGGTTGTCAGGGATTCGGGGGAAGCAGGGGAGGATAAATAGATGGAGAACAGGGGATTTTTATGGCAGTGAAACTATTCTGTATGATACTGTAATTGTCAATACTGGTCATTATACAGTTGCCAAAACCCATATTGCTGTACAATGCAAAAACTGAACCCTAAGATAAACTAGGGAGGTTAGTTAATAATAATGTTTCAATATTGTAACAAGTGTACCACACCAATGCAAGATGTTGACAACAGGAGAAAGGAGGGAGAAGAAAGGAAAGAGAGAATATATGGGAACTCTCTGTATTTTTTGCACAATCTTCCTGTAAACCTTAAACTGCTCTAAAAATAGTCTATTTATATTAAACATTTTAGCCAGGCATGGTGGCTTATGCGCGTAATCTCAGCACTTTGGGAGGGCTAGGCGGACGGATCACTTGAGATCAGGAGTTCAAGACCAGCCTAGCCAACATAGTGAAACCCTGTCTCTACTACAAATAGAAAAATTAGCTGGGCATGGTGGTGCGCACCTGTAATCCCAGCTACTGGAGAGACTGAGGCAGGAGAATCACTTGAACTTAGGAGGCGGAGGTGTCAGTAGGGGGGGATTGCACCACTGCACTCTAGGCTGGGTGATAGAGTGAGATGCCGTCTCAAAAAATGAATACATAAAAATAAATACTTTAGTTCACCAAAATACACTATAAACAAATTTGAAAGGCAAATAATAATCTAGGGAAAAATATTTAAAGCATATACCACAAGCGATTAGACAACTTTTCAATATTTAAACAACTCTGACAAAACAGAGAAAAAGCCAAACGTGAACAATGCACCAAAGAAATACTTCAAACAGCCAAAAATCTTATTTAAAATGTTCATCATTAATTATCAAAAATTGAAAATTAAAATGATATATCTTTAAAATACATAGGAGTCTAATAATTAATATTGGTATAGGCATAGGAAATCTGGCATATAGCCTACAGGGAAAGTGTCAATTGGCACAATAATAACCCAAACACCTAGCTCTACCAGTCACTATAATATTTTGACATTCAGTCCAACTTTTGACTTGAGAGTGAATTAAAATGATAGCAACATGAGAAAAAATACTGTTCTATATAAGGGGTACATGAACACAGTTCATATAATCTTTGATTCTAAAGTTTAGAATTCATTGAGCAAGCTACAAGAAAATTAGCTAAGAGAACAACACAGGAGAAATAAACCAAATCGTTTTTCACCCAACTCACCTCCTCAGAGAGGAGGGTAAGAGTATGGCATATGTGGGAAATGCTGGTAGGGGAGGCATTTGTTTTGTTTTGTTTTGTTGTTTGTGACTCAGCAAAGAGTTAAAGCAATTAAGAAACATTAGTTATCTTTCTCCCAAAAACCCAATAATAGAGGAACTCTTTATCTTAATCACCTATCAATAAAAATAAGGTTTTCATTGAGTACCTCCTATGGGCGCTCATAGGGTAACATCAGTTGAGATGCTATGAAGGTTACAAAGAAAGTATCAAATGTATCCCTGATGTCCAGGAATTAATAATCTGGTCAGAATTTACGTGGAATTACTGAACTAGTCACATGTATTTATTTCCTCCATCCCACAAAAAGTTTACTGTTGACCACCTGACTGCCATAGGTTCTAGAGGCACAAAGAAAAAGACCCTTCAGATCCTAACTCCGAGGTCTAATGAGGGAGATAATTAAAATACAATTGGTCAAGAGTTCAGATGGTGGAATATGCAGGATACTGTGGAAGTGTGAGAAAAGAAGTCAGGGAAGGCTTCCTGGATGAGGAGGCACTGAGTTGAGAAACAGAATTGAATTAACCAGTGGATAGAAGCCATTTCAGGATGTGCAAACTGCATGTGTAAGAGCCTGGAGGAGACAAGAGGAAGGTGAATGCATAGGAGTGAGCAGAGACAGTGCTAGAGCATCCTTCCCACTCAGGAACTGCCAAAAGCCCTGAGAGGTTGGTAAGAGAAGCACCTTTATAAAGACACGGTACTGACTTCGGACTTAACCCTCAGGGAAATGGGAGGTCACACAGAGGTTTTACAGAGAACAGTAACATGATCAGATTTTCTCTGGAAAGATCCTTCTGGTTTCATATAAAGGATGGCTTGGAGGGAATGTGGAGAAGCTATGAGAGTACAGCTGTGGTGGAGATGATGATGAAAACTAGGGAGAACTAGGGGGACAGTAAGAAGTGAGTGGATGGATGGATGTAGGGGACGATAAGGTGACTAATTAGATAGAGGGTGTGCTTCAAGGGGACAGGATGTCAAGGATGACTCTGGACTTCTCATCTAAATAAATACAAATAGAACTTTTCTTGCCAAGACAAGGGGCGTCTTGGGAGCCTCCAGCCCCAGAAATGCCAGGAGCTTGGTCTCCATGCCTGAGCTCCTGCTGCCTCCAACTCCCTGAGTGATAGGTGTTTCCTCCAGGATTTCTGAATGGGCCGAGGCTGGTTTCCATCCCTTCATTCCCCATTCCTCCTTAGCCAGAATGCTCAAGCTGCAGAGACCCTGGCTTCCTGGGGTTCAGAAGGCTCAAGCTCCCAAATATTTACTCCCTACCTTCTTCCACTATCTGCCAGTATAGGCAGCGCATACTTTTTCCAAGTCTTCAACTAACATGTCAGAAGAACAAAATACATTTACATGATACTTTCAATTTAGAGAAAAAACAATGAACAACTTTCTGAGCTGAGTGGCTCATACAATTTTAAGAACATACCACACAGATCTATGAAAGGTTAAATATTTACATATTTCCTTAAGGATCATATTATATTCACATATGATTCCAATTTTATATGATGAAAATTCATAGTTGGGACCACTAAGTCCTAATTCAATGATTCACAGCTAATGGATATTTAAAAAAAAAAAAAACTTACTAAAGGGAACTGAAGTAACTTCTGAAAGCCCGCTAGCTAAAGTGATCCAGACTCAGCACTGCAGACTTGCAGTATGAGAGAAAAGGCCTGAACTCAAAAGAGAAAGTAGGGTCTAGAGGACGGGAGGCTGCCATTGAGTAGCCAGGAGAGACCTAAAAAGTCTGAGAGCTCTTCAGCAGCTGCTGAGCACATGGCTCTGTACAGAGAAAGAGCAGGTGAGCCTCTGTGTGTTTCAGAAGGTATAAGGCATAGGTCAGGAGGCTAACTCCAAACCAGCAGCTAAATGGTGATGGTGAATCCTTATGGGTTTGTCTGTGTATCTTGAGGCCTCAACCAAGGGCCCAAATAACAGGAAACCAAATGCACTGAAAGGAAAAGATTACCTCACCTGTTTTTGGAAGAGAGTAACTGATATTAAACAAATCCTCCAGAAAAGAGAAGATGGGACCTGTGATGTTCAAAGCAAAGTCTGCACTTCCATTTGCAATTGCATCTTTCCGGGCCCAGATGCGTATCTAAATCAAAACAGTTAAGCAGTGATTAGGAAAACCAGTAGTGATTTTGGAAAGAGGTAGTCTGCTTGCTCCAATTCCCTGCTGCTGAACCAAAGTCTTACCTTTCCAGAAGAAGCTGCATAATAAAATGCTTGCATGCTTACATGTCCTGAGAAAACCCCTGAAGGCTGTTCACTAAGTTATGAACAGTGATTCCCCCGAAAGTGTGTTATTTCAATCTTTGACAATAGCATGTACAATCTGGAATCATAAAACAACCCCTGGAATGGGTTGTACCAGCATCTACCCCTACAGTAAGTGTAGATTCTATAGGCATTTTGTGCACTTTGGGCCCTTGCTTCCCATTTCAGGATATATTACTAATGATCCAAAACAGAATTGCACTGTGAGTGGGGGTTATATAGTATGGTACATATTAAGCATATTTAAATCATGCACATTTAAAATTGTTTAGCAGTTAGAACATTAATAGTCCTACTTTACTTACAAAATTTGAAATAAGGTTAATTCTCCTAATTTAAAAAAGTTCATCAAATGTCTCATAATTTTAAAACTGTCAAAGCAAGTGAATTATAATTCTCTTGTTTTTCTATTGCCAAATGACACTTCCACTTTAGCAAGTAAAAGGAAATCTCTGCCATGTTTTGTCCGTTTTGTGTGACCACACTATTGTTTGTGTAATTGGAGCTTATTTGTGTGATTTTGTGAGTAATATCCTATTGTTTTAACATTAATTATTACTATAAATTGAAAGTATTGTAAACTCTAAAAAAAAAAAGTAAGTAATTTTTAATAGAATTGCCAGCATTAATGTTAAAGAACATGCATAAAACTTAAAGATCTTGGAATGAAAGTTACCAAGTGAGATAATTAAAATATTTGTCCTGTTGTGAATGCCGTTAATTTAAGAAAGAACGCTCTGCAAAACATTAGAGAAAATGCTAAGGAAATGAAAGAATCACAGTATTTACAGATTTGTGCCCTCCAAGAACATATTCGTCTTACTTTGCTTTTATTTCTGCTTAAAAGTATTTCTAGAATTATGTAAATTCTGAACTACTTACATGTTTCTTATGTTTATTCTCATGCCACACATTAACCACACTTTCCATTTCATGAAATCTTTATCTGTTACTTAATGAGAAATTTGTAAATGGGCTGGACTCTATTCCAAGTGTACATTTTTGTTCCTCTGCAGAGTATATAATGGACCCATTAACTTTGTAAAGCTGAGCTGTAGCCAAATGTTCACATTCCACTGATAGACTCATGCCAAACTTCAGTGTGCTGGCTAAGAACATGACTTTCTTAGGTATGCTCCATTTCCTTGTTGTTTCTATGGCAGCTGGCATCCTTTTCGGGGTGATCTTTCACAGATAAATCGATATCATCCCGCTACAAGAATGGTTGACTGTGCAGCAGCACTGACCACAGCAAGGCACTTGAGATAATGGATGCCAAGGAATCACCTTTGGTCTGTCATTACCTATGGGAGCCCATTCCTCCTTACCAAGCTCAAAGCACGTGCTTCCAAATCATGCCTGAGCAGATTTAAAAATATAAGCCATGCACGTTTAACTTGGCCAGTGTTATATTTGTAGATGACAAGGTTCTACTAGTAATTATTCAATAGGAAAATCAGACTGGAGCCAACAGCCTAGGAAGATAACAAGCTGCCATTTGCATCTAAAACGGTATTATTAATTCATTAAGTTAGGAGGAGCTTTGAGAATCGCTCAGCCAACACAATATTACTAATTCATCACTAGGTTAGGAGTTGTAAAGGAGGAGTAGCTTTGAGTAATTCTCCCCTGATGAGGGGCTTGGCTCACCCACAGCTTCCTTTTCTCCACATGTCAATGGTGCAAGCCTGGAAGACCTTGGGCCCCTTGGGCCCAGGAGAGTATGTTAGCGAGCTATAGGGCCTGATTTTTCTCAGCTTGATGAAGTCTACGTGTCTAGAAAGAACTGGGCCTAAGGCCCGCTATAATAGGGAGTGAACAAGCATATAAAGCACTGCCAGCACGACCTCCATATTTTCCTAAAGGATTATTATAAAGGGGGTAATTGGGTGAAAACCAGCTATTTCAGGACAGAGTGCTGACTTTACACAACTCAGAAAAAGTGTTGCATGCTCCAGAACTGAAGAACATGGCAGTTCAGCTTCTGGATAGGTATGGGGACAAGAGTGACTTTATTTTAAATGCTAATCCACTATGTAACTTCTGACTAACCTTGAGTCTGAGAGTGCCTCTAAATGTCTAGTTAATGTGTTAACTCATTATGTAGAAACACCTATTCATTGTAAGTTTTCTTCAAAACCACCCTTGTTGTTCTGGAAATCATAGGCTGTGATGTGGCCAACTACAAATTCCTTCCGGGGCACGTATGCTTTTCCCCCAAGATATAAGCCCTGGGTCTGGAGAGTTACAGAGCAAAGATCTACTTGTCTTGTGGCCACCCAAGACCATGCTTCTGTCTTTAAGTTCCCTTAATAAAACATTCCAAACCAACAAACTAGATTTGTCTGCCTCCTTCCTCAGTTTCTCAGCTCCTTCTGCATTTGGGGGTCGCTTTGTTTATATGGCCATTTCACAGAACAATAGGGATAATATTTTAACCTGCATGCACCATTTCAGCCATAGCAGTTGTTCCTGGCTGGTGTCCGTTTTGACTCGTTGATGCCTGGCCATGCTGGTTGCTAACTGTTTTGAGTATCACCCAAGCTTCAAGACACCATTAACCCTGGGCTAAGTACACATCACATACTAAACGCAAACATCAAGGTGCCAGTGCAGCAGTGCTCCCCATTCTCTCCTGTCTTCTGCAAAAGCAGAAACACACTGGGAAGAGGGGGCACAGACCTTGCCTTGATGAGTGGGCTTAATATGGACTCTTTCCGTGAAAACCTATCCAAAGAATGGCAGTAGGAAATGTTATGTCCCATTCTGCAAAGCCACACTAAGAACTTTTACAGGGCTTGGGAGAGAGAACTAGGAAGCGATTTGGGGATATGCAGCCATAACCACTGGATGCAGAAAGAATAGATGAATAATCTGCAGCCAGTACAATCTCCCTTACCTACAGAATCTTCCTCACTCACCTCCTTGCCCCTTTCTGTTCTGTTGACGTGGTCATAGTCACATATAACAAATGCGACTAAGTAAGTTGGCATGTGGGGCGTAGTGGAAAAGGTTGTAACAGTCCATTTGCTTCCATTCACATCTTCTTTTTCAGACTGACCTAGAGAATTTTATTTTAGTTCAAATCACAGCAAATCTAAGCAATTACATGTCTTTGAAATAATTTGTCAAGTCAATTGTCACCCAGCTACTCCTTTCCAGCTATTCCTCATAGTCTAGCAGTTCAGATTTCTCCACCTACTCCTAAGCTATCCAAAACCACATTAGGAAAATCTCAGAACAGCATCTTGGGCCTGAATCAGCATTTTGAATAATATAGACTTGATTGAGGGCCAAATCCACGAGCACTATAAACTTAGCCCCCAATCTGCCTCCTTTCTCTCCCACCTAATTCTATTGTTTTCTAGTCCAGCCCATTTCTCACAACACTTAATCTAGAGCTGCCTAGGCCCCACGGTAGGTCAACAAGGTGCAATTCTACTCCTCTCAGGTTTCAAACTAAGACTTTAGTGGAAGCAATCTGGGGCCTTTAAAGCTGAAATCACAAACTCAAATGCCTACAAGGGCCAGGCACTCGATGTGAAATGGGTTGGTGTACCTAATAGGGAGTGGTGAGGATCATCTGAGAAGCGGCTGCAGGAGGCAGCCAACCTCCTGCTGGAGACAGCAAGACTTGTTGACCTGGGAACCTGCCTTTAGATGACAATTGTGGAGGCTAAATTCCCTTTTCAACTAAAGTCCTGAGACTTAAAGGCTCTTCTCAAATGTCACTGATCACTGCCACGTAAGAGCTGTAGGTCCAGTGTTGTTAGAACTTCTAAGTTTTCACATTTAAATTTTTATGTAAAATCTCTGGATATTTTTAAGTTGGAAACTGATTTAATCAAAAGAAAAAAAGGCACATGAGCCAACTGAAACACAGCTGTGCACCAGATTCAGACTAAGCCCACCAGCTTGTTATCACTAATGATCAACAGTTGAAGCCCAAACTAAGTGGCAGGCAGACTGCCCATTTATAAGAACAGTGTAATATCCTCAGCTTCTTATACCAAAGGAATCAGGATTTACCATCTCCAAGGTGTGGATGCTGACACATATCCCAGGTGACTGCTCTACCTAATTATAGTAGACTGTAATTATAATACACCATAATACACTGCCTAGAAAAGCTACTGGTATAAATGTGATTACAAAGCTTATATAGATAGACAGCTAGATATAGACAGAAAGCATTACTTACCTAGCTTTGGCATGTTGGAAAGGGCCACATAACTTGGATGATGAATCATTGTAATATTAAAAGTTGCCTTCAGAGCTGGCTCATCAAAACAAGGGAAAACATACCTGGCAAATGTTGGTTCCAGCTGGGACGCTAACAGGGCCCTGAAATACATTTTGGGGAAATTTTTATTTATTTTTATTTCAACCCAGTGGAATAAAAAAACATTGAGAGATGATGGCTTGTAAGTTAGCCTGGTGTGTTAGAGGAAATTTCCTCTCATCTTCCTCACTGCCCATCCCATCACACCAACACACTCCAATTATCATGGCACCTTAGAATTCTCCTAAGACCTAAAATACAAGCACACCCTTTACTTTTAAACCACAAAATAATATTTGTTTTATTACATCGTAAACCTTTAAAACCTTTTACAAACAGAATAGAAACAAATATAGCGAATATGCAACATCAGTCTTTTGAGAACCAGCTCTTTATAAAGCTAGGATTACTTCTTTGAGAATGGTCCATTGCTTTCATCTTCCACTAAAGTAAAAGTCAGGGGAAGAATGTCTATTTTTTTTCTTTTTCTCACATGCCTCCTCTTCTTCCTAGCTAAAAACTTACAAAAAGTTTTATTTTGGACACTCTTGGGAGTAAACAATATGGGTACATGCTGATTGAACAAAACAACTTTCAATTATATATGGGTAAAGGTATCAAATCCCTGCTGATTCTTCCTCCATCTCCATGGCAAAATACAAAGAGTGACATTATCCCACCACACACTGGTGACTTACAGGGAAAAGCTTAGGGACAAGAATACCCCGAGCAGACGAGAAGACGTCAGGTTTACCCCCTGCAAACACTGCCTGAGTCTGATGACAGCACAGGTCCCAGCAAACAACTTTCTTCTCAAAACAAACAAAACAAAAAAACCCTGCAGTCTCATTATCCCATTTGCCAAGACTTGCTTACCTGGGAACCCGTCTTTAGATGACAACTGTGGATGCTAAATTCCTTTTTCAACCAAGATCCTGAGACTTAAAGTCTCTGATACATTTGTTTTTGCATCAGGCCCAATTCTTGGATAAATAAGAGGTGAATTCAACAAAGATATCTCAAGAGTATATGCCATCCATTACTTACCCTTGTGATCCCTCCTTCACCATCATAAGGCTGCTGCTTGCATAAGAATTCACACAGCTTTAGGAAGGACACATAGGACGGTTGGCACGTGCAAACAACTCTCAGTCAGCCATTTTGAGGTGTCATAACCTCATTGTATTGACAAAAACAATAATTTATAGTAAGGCCTGTTTTGGCTTACTTGCTCTTGCCCACATTATTATATGCTTACTGGCATAGACTGGAACGAGCCCTGTGGGCTCTGGCACCAGCTACTTTCTCTGTAAGACCCTACTCCACTCCATCTACTACCAACTGAGCAACGCAGGACAGTCACACAATCTTGTTAAGCCCCAGTTTCCCCACCTAGAAAATAATGACACTATTTACCTTGTACTGCTGTTTGAACTTTTAAATTATTGGTAATTACATTTACCAATAAATCACCTTTGAATTCTCCTATATCCCTTCCGATCTCACAAATCATTCTTGATACAGATGAACTATAGAAGAACTCAAAGAGGGATAAGTTACAGGATGGAATGGATGCTTGGAAATCACTAGTTACAGATGCATCTTTAAAAGTCCCAGGGTTGGGGGAGGTGGGGATGGTTAATGGGTTCCAAAAGAAAAACAGTTAGAAAGAATGAATAATAACTAGTATTTAATAGCACAACAGGGTGACTACAGTCAAAATAATTTAATTGTACTTTTAAAAATAACTAGGGTATAATTAGTTTGTCACATAAAGGATAAATGCTTGAGGGGATGGATACCCCATTCTCCATGATGTGATTATTATGCATTCCATGCCTATATCAAAGTATCTCATGTACCCCCACACATATATACACCTACTATTATACCCACAAAAATTAAAAATTGAAAAAAAGTGTTCTAGGGGCTACAGCTGACCACAGATTAAACATGAGTCATATTCGTCGCCCTGGTAAATTTGAAACTGCTAGAAATGAGAGGTTATGTATCTTTTTCTTCTGTATCATTTATAATAGTTGGCAAAAATCTGGGTTCATAGCAATTGTATAAGTATTTGTTTAGCCAAGAAATAATATAAAATAAAAGCAGCATGATATCAGTATATGCAAAAGAATATAAAGTACTTTGGCAGAGTTTGTTATAATGGCATTTGTTTTATGGTTTTGGTTACTGTCTTTAAGGGGATTGGACAAAGTAGAGAAAATTCAAGCCATTGACAATATAGTGGAAAGAACAGGCGTGAAGAGGAAATTCAGCCACCTGAATTCTTGCTCGGAATCTGTAAAGACTGTTGTGTAACTTTGGGAAAGTTGCTTAATATACCACTTAAATTTTCTATGAAATGTAGATGATCTCTAAGGCCACTCAGAACTCTAAAACTGTGATTCTAAGAGAGATTAAGATATCCAGCAGGATGGAAAAAGAGCCCATGAGTCATCTAAAGTTGGGAGAAACAACCCCCTTCCAGGTTCATGCATGGCCTTCAGGAGGTCTTTGAGCCCTCTGAAATTATAGGATATTTTGTACAACTGGTGGCATATTAAAAAATACATGCTCATGTATTTTTTAAAAGCCAACAAATGCCTATTGTCTTTGTAACAGAAACTATAGGAAGTAAAGCTTGATCATACGTTCTCAGCTGCCATGACCTCACAAAGCTTATGAATCTCAAAGAGACTGCAAGGTGGGGAGCGGAGAGAAAATTATACTCCTTAAGGAAGTGGGAAACTTTTATTTTACAGGTTCCAAAAGTGAACCTGGAGTGTAAAAGCAGGTGGAGACGCCAGCTTAAAGAGTCACCACTTCAGCAAATCAAACATCAAGCAAGCATCTTCCAATTCCATGATTCAGGTCTCCAAATAAGTAAAATAAAGTCTCTCAAATTTAATTCAACTATTTCCCTCCCTAGTTTTATGCAAACAAACCAAAAGTTAGGGGAAAATCCCTACGACACACAGCCTTTGGCTCTCAACCTTAACTGCAAAAGTCAAGTCTAACCAGCAGCACATATGATCTAGTTATGCCACCTCTGAGAACCTCACAGTGGTGTTTCCTTCCCTTTTCTCTGTGCTTTGGACTCAAGCTACCCTGTAACGATATTTTGACTTCAGAAAATAGAACCATCCACCACCCTCTCCTCCCTTCAAATCTCACTGAAACATGCTATTATGGTGTCCATTAAGTCTGTGTTTAGAATGGTCAGCTGGTGAGGGAGTTAATTTGGGAGAATTTGTCTCCTTGTGGGTCAGTATTGCAGAGCAACTTTCCTGCCCTCTTGTCTGGAAAGAGAATCATGGACTCACTGTTTTCTTGTGCTGGAAGTGGATCATGGACTCACTGCTTTCTTTGTGGTCAAGAACCACATGACACCCTTGGAGAATAAACCTACTACAACATAAACAAAAATCTACTACATCCACTCAGTAAGCTATTTCATTCCAAATTATTTTATGAACTTTGTATGTCTACAGCTCTACTTAACAAGTGCTGAATAGCATAGCCGGTCAAGTATTAAATAAAACTCTTAGGCAAGTTGTCCTCCCACAGTTTTTTTACACAATAACACACTCAGAAATCAAAATGTTTAGTAGAGCCAGATGTTACACTACTGGACTGTGGTTCAAGGGTTGGCTTATGAATCACGTTTGTTTATTACTTGTGTAATAGAATCTGAAAACTGAAGTTTTCACCAGGCAACAAAACATAATAGATATAAAATTCCAGAGAAAGGTGCCAAAACATGTTATGAAGATTTTCAAAATAAATGGCCTTGAGAACCTGGGTATGCCTGTTGGGCTTCTCAGCTACATGAGGGCCCCAGAAGAAGGGTCAGAGAATGGAGACAAAAGAGATTGGAGAAGCTATCTCTTGATGGAGGGGAGGGGGAAGCATTACTTTGCCAAGCTTTCCACGCTCTCAGGGAGTTGGGAGGAGGGGCAACCTTCTAACTATGGGCTTGGAGGAGAGAATCCCTCAGAGAGCAGTGAAAGTGTTTCCTGAGGCTGAGAGGCTTAGAAGCCCAACTCACTTTTGAGAAAGATGAAATTGATGGTATGGCCAAGGTCTAACTCCTACCAGGTGGGGATCTAAAAGGCATGAGAATGGCTGACTTCTTTGGAGTGCTGCTGCCTTGGGACTCATGCCAGTCCCAGGCCAGGGAAGCATGAGCATTCCTTGCAAGAGCTGTGTCCCCTACCATACAAAGTGAGCCAATATGGGGACTGTCTTGATTTAGTCCAGTAGAGCCACCTGGAGGAGGCTGGAGGAGCTTTGAGATACGCTGCTTGGTGTCTAGGGGCTGAGGAAGAAGTCATGATGACTATCAGAACAAAGAAATAGAAGTTGCTGAGTCAAGGAAATTGTAGAAAAAAAGAGGAAAAACACTGAAGAATCCAGGAAAATGACATCTCAAGGGGAAAATGCATCTGTAAGACCAGAATGAGACCAAATGACAACAGTGCCAGCTCAAGTAAGAAGTCCTATGTGTCACCTCTCCCTGTCACCCCCAGCCCCATGGACTCCCGTGGAATCAAAATAGCAGCTATCAAGATAGGCAAAGAAGAGTAGAAACGTGAGGTAAAGAAAAGAAGAAGGACTACCACCCTGTACCTTAATGCAGGCTTCCATCCTAAAAACTAGCCCAAGAGTAGGGAGTGGAAGATGGGAGAAAAATGGAGGTGGGAGAGAAAGAGGTTTAACAGTAAATTAAGTTCAAAGGTTTGAATATTACACAGGACTGGATTTTCTAATTTTCTCATCTAACTTACTTGTGACTTAGTTACTGTAGATCACCTGTCACTTAAGAATAAGCAGGAACTTATAGGCTGCTGGGGTCCTCATGCAGAGCAGAAAAGTTACCCCACAGACTAAATTTCCCACTGTAAAAGGACAATGGAAAAACGAAGTTGTGTTTTTACTAATCTGTAAGCTATGCTTTTTCAATATGCTAGCTATACGTATTTTCAAAAGACACAGGATCTGAATCTTTGCTGTGCAAAACCATCTCCCAGAGAGGACTGCTCAGCCACATGAAATATATGGGTTTGACACCTTTATAGGATAATGAAATGACATTTTCCTCTGTGACACCAGCATCATGTGTCTGGCACTTAAGTTCTCTGACCTCGTTTTGAGACTTACAAATTCTTTTCCTGATACTGCTCAAATTTCTCTCTTGTGTGTCATACCCTAATCACCATGCCAGATTTCCTAGCATAAACAGCAACTGCAAGAAAGTCTGTTTCTATTCTCTGTTCACTCTGTCTAAACCTGCACAAATTCATTGATTTTAATCATGCTGCTTTCACCTTTATTTGGCCCCCCAAAATATCCTAATTTTCACCAACTATTTCACACTTTCCTTATTTGATCTTGATCTTTCTATTTTCATTTCTTTAAATATCTTTCAGTTCCTTCTTTTCTTTAATCAAGGGAATGCTAGAATCAAAAATGCAAGAAGTATTCTGGGAATCTTTGAACAAAAGTGGGAGTGTATGAGTTCTCTCATTAAATTACAAAAGTGAAGAGACCTTAAAGAGTCCCACCATCTTAATTGACAGATGTGAAAACTGACTCCCCAGGAGTTTATGCAACTGATTAGACGACCAGCAAGTGCACAGTGGTACCAGAATCAGGGCTCCAGGTCCCAAGCCTGGGGTCCTTTCCAATGCACTGACTGCTTTGAAGTACATAACGTAATAAATACTAAAACTAAACTAAACTGAGATGTCATGAAGACGACTAGAGATTAACTTTATAATTAATAGCATTCCCAAATCTAAAGATAATGAGACTTCTGTTTGCCACCACAGGGAGTAACATAGGCTCAAATCAGCCTTCTGCTGAAAACAGTTTTAAAACCTGACAAAATATATAAAACAACTATTTCAGACATAAGACAACCAGAAGCACAGGACTGTGATCCTCAAGAGAAGAGAAACAAGCAAAGCAAATGCTACAATTACCCTGTTTTTCTGCCTCGAAGCAGTTTCTAAACTGCAGCACAGGAAAGGGAAACTGAAACAATTCGGTGGTCTCACTGAGTTGAAGAGACAGACGTTAGAGTTCAGGGACACCTAGACAGCTAGAATTTGCCGAGTAGAGTATAAGAGAAGAGGTAACTATGCAAAGAAAGACTTCCAGAAATCTGTATAGGATTCCCCTCAAGTCTTTGGACAAATAGTAATCATCATGAGGTCAGGCAAAGAGAAGCTGCTGGGGAAAGAATAAGTACCAGGGAAGGGTACGCTGAACACTTCCCAGAGTTCACATACTGTTTGGAGTTGTTGGAATTTTCTCAAGCCAGAGTATTGAAATCTTCAGAATATATAGATTATTCAACAGAGGGAGACTAGATGGGTGATGCCTGAGTAGTGGCCTAAAGTAGCCCTAGAGTAAAGGCTTCTTTAGAGTCACTCTCAAAGAGCTTAAAAACATGGCTCAAGAGAATCAAACAAGGATCAACAGGATCACCAAGTAACTTCAGTTACTATCCAAAAGGGCCAGCATTCTCTAAGCAATATAACCAAATCCAGCATCCAACAACATAAAAATTTAAATGTCAGGCATTCAATAAAAAATGAGAAGATGCTGAAACATTTGGAAAGCAAATAATGCAGTTCTAAATAACACAGGAGTCAAAGATAAAATCCAAATGGAAATTAGAAAGTATTCTGAACTTCCAAAAAAAAGATAAAAACAACATAACATCATTTGTGGCATGGCATTAAAGCAATAGTTAGTGGGAAATTTATAATATTAAATGCCTATATGAGAAATAAAAGGGTCTTAAAGTAATAAGTTTGTGTCAACCATAGTATAGAAAAAGTAAAAATAAAGCCCAAAGTAAGAAGAAAGTGGATAATAAAGATCAAAATATAAATCGGTGAAATAAAAAACAGAAAATCAATAGAGAAAATCAATGAAGCCAAAAACTGGTTCTACAAGAAGATTAGTAAAATAGATAAATCTTGACACCAGTCCTACAACAGCATGGTCAGGTAGCGCAGAGCTGGTCAGATGCACTTACTCTCATCTAACCAAAAAGTAGGAGCCAATGCCATTATCTGGGTCATTGCTATCTGGCGAAGCTCAACAGTATCCTGAGCACCAGAGAGGAGACTGGCAGAGGAACTGAATCAAAGAGGTTGTGAAGGATATAGGGGTGGCAGAAGTGGGGACCGAAGAGACCCCTCTAAACCCCGGAGGCTGTGGCCGCTAGTCACTGGGAGCCACTGCTCTGTTTCGGATTGAAGAACGACTTAGTTGGTGTGGTGATCAGTCACGGTGGGTCAAAAATAAAGGATAGCCAAAGCACAACAAACATCAAAATCCAGATAAAGAAAAGGACATCTGGAATCATTAGTCAACATTTTTGGCAGCAAGGCGATGCAAACAAAAGCAAAAGTAGTAATAGATAAATGTGTTTTTTAAAAAACAAATTACAATTCAGAACACAGAATTGATTTAAAAACCAATTGAGAAAACCTTTTACAAAGAGTCAACAACAAGTTCAATATCCCAAGTGCAAGCAGACAACCGGAGGAAGGCAAATTTTAATATAATGTGTGATGACGTGAAAAATGGTAAGAAACGTCCTATCCCCAATCCTAGTTGCACATTTGACGATGCCTTTCAATGTTGTTCTGAAGTTATGGAAAATATTAAAAAGACAGGTTTTCAAAAACCAACACCTATTCGGTCACAGGCATGGCCAATTGCTCTGCAAGGAAAAGATCTTACAGGGGTAGCCCAAACTGGTACAGGAAAAACATTATGCTATTTAATGCCTGGATATATTCATCTGGACTTCCAACACACAGAGAAAAAAGGAATAGACCCGCATGTTAGTCCTTATGCCCACTCAGGAGCTAACTCTTTAAGTGGAAGCTGAGTGATGCAATAAAAGTTTAGAAGCATTTGTTATACGGTGGTGGAGATGGAGACAAACAAATAGAAGACCTTAGGAAAGGTGTTGATATCATATTGGCAACTCCCAAAAGACTGGATGATCTGCAAATGAATAACTTTGTCAGCCTGAGAAGTGTAACCTACTTGGTTTTAGATAAAGCAGACAATATGCTGGACATGGGGTGTGAACCCAAGATAATGAAGATTTTGTTAGATGTGCGCCCAGACAGGCAGAATATTATGACCAGGCAACTTGGCCATATTCAGTTCATTGACTCATACAATCTTATTTGAAAGAGCCCATGCTTGTCTATGCTGGTACACTGGATCTGGTTGCCATTAAGTTTAGTGAAGCAAATATAATGATCACCACAGAGGAAGAAAAATGAATTTATATCCAAAGTTTTCTAGATCTTATTTCACCCAGAGACAAAGTGATTATCTTCATTTCCCAAAAGGCAGTTGCAGATCATTTATCAAGTGACCTAATACTTGGAAATATATCAGTAGAGTCTCTGCATGGTGATACAGAACAGAGAGATTGGTCGGGAGAGAGCATTAGAGAATGTTAAAATAAGTCAAGTGAATATTAATTGCTACTGACATAACATCCTGAGGTCTTGATGTCCATGATATTACAGATATCTATAATTACAATTTTCCATGGAACACTGAAAAATATGTACACTGAATAGGGTGCACAGGAAGAGCTGGAAGGACTGGAGTGCCAATTACACGTGTGACTAGAAATGATTTGAGGGTTGCCACCAAATTGATGAATATTTTGGAAAGAGCAAACCAGAGTGTTCCAAAGGAGTTTGCATCAATGGCTAAGAGACACGAGGCACATCAACAACTAAAAAGGAAATGGGAAGACTTCAAGGAACGCCCAAGAAGTTTTATTAAGATCTTTTATTGAAAAGTGTTACTAGCTTACCAGACGTAAAACTTTAATAACATATATAGTTTCAAATGCCTGCTTTCATAAACTAGGTTTTGTTAGTGTTTATATTGCAATCAGCATTACCACTAAGAGTTTTTAACATCATAAACTGTTAGGTGTTACGCTTTTACTATTACCTAAACTCTAGTGAATGTACCTTCAGAGTTGGTAGGTGTATAGATTGGTATGACCTCCTATGAACAACTTGGTAATGTATAAATTATAAATACATAAGCCTTTTGATCTGGCAATTTCTCTTCTAGGAATGCATTCTACAACTATGTCTGCAATATCTGTAGTATCAAAAGACTAACTGAAATGTCTAGAAAGAGACTAGATGAAGTAGTAAAAGCAAAGAACTTTCTACTATGATGGTGGACTGAGCTAAAACAGGAAACCTTACCTCCTACTTCAAACTCAACAGAAATGCTAGATAAAATATTTTTGAAAAAGGTGTTCCCAAAGCTGGGTTATGAATGGGGGCTTATTATATTCTGTAAATGTTTAAAGAATTTTCCATAATAAAAAGTCCATATTTACCAGCCTCAAAAAAAGATAAATCTCAAGGCAGACCAAATAAACTTATTGAATATTAGAAGTAGAAGAAACCTATGAAAGCTGAAGAAACTGGTTAGACAACTAGTAAGTGGTAGAGTGGTACTAGATAAGGGCTCCAGCTCCCAAAGAGAGAAGACACAAATTTCCAATATCAGGAATAAAAGGTGATGTCACTACAGATTTTATAGATGTTTAAAATAATAACGAAATATTTTGAACAATTTTGTACTTACACATTTGGCAACTTTGATTAAATGGATAAGTTCCTAGAAAGACACAAACTGCCACAGTTTACTCATGAAGAAATAGATAACCTAAATAGCCCTGTATCTATTAGATAAATTTAAGTCATAGTTAAAAACCATCCCACAAAGAATTTCTAGGCCCAGAGAGCCTCATGGGTGAAATTCAATCAGACGGTTAAAGAAGAAATATTACCAATTTTATATAAATTTTTCTGAAAATCAAGGAAAAGGGAATACTTCTGAATGCATTATTTGAAGCCAGTGTTACTTTGACATCAAAATTGGACAAATACATTGCAAGAAAACTACAACTACAAGTCCATAACTCTCATGAACATAGAGCAAAAATTCTAAGCAAAATTTGAGCAAATCAAATCTAATAATATATTAAAAGGCTAATGCATCAAGAACAACTGGAATTTATTTCAAGAATTCAAGGTTGACTGGGTGCAGTGGCTCATGCCTGTAATTCCAACACTTTGGGAGGCCAAGGGAGATGGATTCCTTGAGCTCAGGAGTTTGAGACCAGCCTGGGCAACATGGCAAAACCCTATCCCTACTAAAAATACAAAAAATCAGCTAGGCATGGCAGCATGTGTCTGTAGTCTCAGCTACTCAGGAGGCTGAGGTGGGAGAATCACCTGAGCCCTGGAAGTCAAGGCTGTAGTGAGCTGTGATTGCACCACTGCACTCCAGCCTGGGCACCAGAAGTGAGACCCTGTCTGGAAAAAAAAAAAAATGCAAGGCTAGTTTATCATTAGAAAATCAATGTAATTTACCATATTAACAAATTAAATAATAAAAACTATATAATCATCTCAAAAGATGCAGAATACACATTTGATAAAATATGACATCCATTCCTGATCATAGCTCTTGGAAAATTATAAATAAAAGGAAACGTTTTCAACCTAATGAAAAGAATCTACCAAAAAAAACCTTATAGGAAAAATCATAATTAATAATTAATGATGGAAGACTGAATGCTTTCACCCTACAATAAGAAATGAGACTAGAATATCTTTACTTACTTTTTCTATTCAGTGTTGTATTAGAAGCTCTAGTCATTGAAATAAGGCAAGAAAAATAAATAAAAGGCGTTGAAACTAAAGTAGAAGTAAAACTGTCTTTATTCAAGACAGTATGACAACCTATGTAGAGAATTTAATGGAAAATTAAAAGCTTTTTTTTAAATAAAAAGATGCTAAATGAAGAAGTGATTTAGCAAAGTTGTAGCATACAAGATCAACAAGCAAAAATTAATTAGCAACAATTAGAAATTGGAATTTCTAAAAATATCATTAACAATAGATATTTAAAATATAAAATACCTAGGAATGAATCTGACAAAATATGTGCAAGATATATACAGTGAAACATATAAAACCTGAATTCATAAAACAGTTGCGAACCTATTTTTCAGTTGTGGCTTGTCTTTGTATTCTTTTAACAGTGTCTTTCAAAGAGCAGAAGTTTTACATTTTAATGAAGCTCATTTATCAATGTTTCCTTATATATATCAAACTTTTGGTGGTGTATCTGTGAAAACATTGTCTATCCCAAGCTCATACAAATTTTCAACTGAATTCATAAAAATACTTGAATTTACAACTGAATTCATAAAAAGGCTTATACACGAATATTCCTGGAAGCTTTATTTGTAACAGCTCAAAACTGAGTAAAGAAGACCTAAATAAGTAGAGAGATATATACCATGTTTATGGGTTAGAAGCTTCAATATTTTTAACATTTGAATTCTCCTCAAATTTTTCTATAGAGTCAACATAATCTCAGTCAAAATCCCAGCAGGTGCTTTTTTTTCTTTATTTAATAGATATTAACAAGCTAATTCTAAAATTAATATGGAAATGCAAAGGACCTAGAATATCCTAAATAACTGGAAAAAAGTTGGTAGATGAATAACACCTAGTTTCAAGATGTATTACAAAGCTACAGGAATCAAGACAATACAGAATTGGCATAAAAATACACAAATGGATCAATAGAACAGACTAGACAATCAAAAAATATACCCACATATATATATGAAAAACTGATTTTTTTACAGAAGTGCAGACACAATTCAGTACAGATAGCATAGACTCTTTAACAAATGGCAGTGGTACAGTTGAATGTCCATAGGCAAAAAAACTCTTTAATCCATACCTCACACCATATGCAAAAATTAACTCAAAATGGATCATACACCTAACTATAAAACTTCTGAAAGAAGGCATAGAAGAAAGTTTTTATGAGCTTAGGATAGACAATGTTTTCACAGATACAACAACAAAAGCTTGATATATATAAGGAAACATTGATAAACTGAACTTCATTAAAATGTAAAACTTCTGCTCTTTGAAAGACACTATTAAAAGAATACAAAGACAAGCCACAACTGAAAAATTATTTGCAAATCATGTATTTGAGAAAAGATCCTCTCTAAATTCAACAATAGGAAAACAAACAGCCCAAGAGAAAAATGGACTGAAGATTTTATCAGACATTTTGTTAAAATAGATGGATGACAAATAGTTACAGAAAATGATGCACAACATTTTTAGTCATTGGGAAAATATAAATTAAAACTGTAATGAAGAACACTATACACCTATTAGAATGGCTGAAATGAAAAAGTCTGGCAATACCAACTGCTGGTAAGGATTTGGAACAACTAGAATTCTGCCATACGTTGATAAAAATTTTAAATGACCAAACTCCTTGGAAAACAGTTTTGCAGTTTCTTAAAAAACTAAATATTCATATGATCTAACCACTCCACTCTTAGGTATTTACTCAAGAAAAATGAATTGATAAAAAGACTTGTATATGAGTATTCCTGGAAGCTTTATTTGTAAACAGCTCAAAACTGAAAACAACCCAAATGTCTTGGTAATTTGTTGGATAAACAAATTGTGTTATATCAATACAATGAAATGCTATCAGTAATACAAAATAACTGATACATACAAAAAGCATGTATTTCAGATGGGTGCGGTGGCTCACACCTGTAATCCCAGCACTTTGGGAGGCCAAGGTGAGTGGATCACAAGGTCAGAATATCGAGGCCATCTCGGCCAACATGGTGAAACCCCATCTCTACTGAAATACAAAAAAAAAATTAGCCAGGTGTGGTGGCGCGTGCCTGTAATCCCAGCTACTTGGGAGGCTGAGGCAGGGGAATCGCTTGAACCCATGAGGTGGAGGTTGCAGTGAGCTGAGATTGTGTCACTGTACTCCAGCCTGGTGACAGAGCAAGACTCCGTCTCAAAAAAAAAAAAAAAAAGAATGTATTTCAAAGTAATTCTACTGAACGAAAGAAGTTAGACATGAGAGTACATATTGTATGATTTTATTCATATAAAACACTACAAAACGCAAATTAATCTACAGAAAGCAGATCCATAATTGCCTGAAGATAAGAAGGTTACAGTGATGTAGAAAGGAGAGATTATAAAGAGCAGAAGAAACTTTTGGATGTGATGAATATGTTTATTAATATTGATTGTAGTGATGGTTTCACCACCACATATGTATATGTATGCCAAAACTTATCAAGTTTTGTACTTTAAATATGTGCAGTATATTGTATGTCAGTTATACTTTAATAAAGCTGTTTTAAAAATCATTAGAAATATAAAGAAGCAACAAAATGTGCATGATAACCCAGGAAAAAGAAGTTAATAGAAACAAAACAAAAAATGACAGAGATGCTAAACTTAGCAGAGAAGAACATTAAAACAGCTATTATAAATATGTCTAATATGCTCAAGGATATTAAAAATGAACATTACGAAGAATGGTATGAAAGATATAAGAATGTAGAAATGTTAAAGATAAAAATTATAATATCTTTTTTTTTTTTTTTTTTGAGATCGAGTCTCGCTCTGTTGCCCAGGCTGGAGTGCAGTGGCACGATCTCAGCTCACTGCAACCTCTGCCTCCCGAGTTCAAGCGATTCTTCTGCCTCAGCCTCATGAGTAGCTGGGACTACAGGTGCATGCCACCACACCTGGATAATTTTTTTTCGTATTTTTAGTAGAGACGGGGTTTCACTGTGTTAGCCAGGATGGTCTTGATCTCCTGACCTCGTGATCCACCTGCCTCGGCCTCCCAAAGTGCTGGGATTACAGGCGTGAGCCACCATACCAGGCCAAAAATTACAATATCTTAAATGACAATTTCACTGGATGAGACTAAAAGCAAACTAAACACTGCAGATGAAAATAATTAATGAAATTGAAAACAAAACAATGGGAACTATCCAAAATGAAACACACAGAGAAAACATACTAAAAAACAATGAAAAGAACCTCAGGACCTGCCTGTAATGTCAGGCAGCCTAATAGGTAATTGGAGTCCCAGAGAAGAGGAGAAAAAAAGTACAAAACAGGAAAAAAAAATTAATAATGGTTGAAAGTTTTTCCAAATGTGAAGAAAACCTTAAACCAGCAGATACAAGAAGCTCAGTGAATCCCAAAACAGGATAAACCAGGGCTCTTTTATTTCCTTAAGACATGAGAACTAAGACGCTTCCTCCTGTACACAAAGGCTATATTGAGAAAGAGGAGAGAAAGAGGAGACCTCTTGAAAGGAGAAGACTTTTTGAATTCATCAGATGGTATGACTTGTAAACCATTCCTTCATAACAGTCAAGGCTCAGTGGTTTCCATTGGGGATGGGGGCCCTCATCTGGGCTATTGCTTGAATGGCCAGTCCTCTGAGCCCGGCTGCAATTCCTTTCAAAGTCACATCTTGGATAACCACTCACACTCTACAGAACTTTCCTCCATGGGACTTTGTTTAATTGCATATCCCAGCTTAGCCTCCTTCCTTTCTCAGTCACACTTGCCCATTCTCCAGCTGATTTTTCCTGGGAATACTTACTGAAAAATTACTTTCATAGAAAAATTTGTCTGAGGGTTATACCGTCAGAAGGAGGAGGGTAGAAAGTAAAGACTCTGGCTTTCTCCATTTGTTCTTTTCTCTGTCTTCCCCCACCTTCCTCCCTGCATTAGAAGGACTGTCCACTCTCCTCTACTATACAGCAAGGGCTCTTATCAAAAAGGGTGGGGGACCAGATGGGCAACTGTCCTTCTAGCTAGTCAGGAGGCTGAGACAAGAGGATCACTTGGGCCTGAGAGTTTGGGACTGCAGTGAGCTATGATTGTGCCCCTGCATTCCAGCCTCAGTGACAGAGTGAGATCCCATCTCTGAAAAAAAAAAAAAAAAAGGGTGGGGAACTAAGGCTGGCTCAATATTTTCAAAAATCAATCAATATAATACCCATATTAACAGGCTCAAGAAGAAAAAATATCACATGATTATATCAATTTATGCAGAAAAAGTGTTAGAAAAATTCAACATGCATTCATGCAAAAGAAACTCTCAGAAAAAAATATGAATAGAAGACAACTTTCTCAACTTGATAAAAAACATATACAGAAACCTACATTTAATATTATGCTCAGTTGTAAAGGCTAAAAACTTTCCCACTAAGATGAGGAGAAAAAAGCAAGAATGTTCATTCTTACCACTCATGTTTAACACAGTGCTGGAAGTTTTACCCAACACAATCAGGCAGGAAAAGAAAATAAATGGCAGATAGATTGAAATTGAAGAAATAAAACTGTCTCCGTTTGTTGACAACATGATGATCTATGTAGACAATTCCAAGGGCTCTACAAAATAAAACACACAAAGCTCTAGATCTCATGAGTTCAGCAAGAGAACAGGATACAAGATCAACATACAAAGCAGCATTTCTATATAGTAGCAACAGACATGTAGAAAACCAAAATTAAACATATAATACCATTTACTATTTCTGAAATAAACTTAAATATTTAAGTGTGAATCTAACAAAATGTGTAGGATTTGTATGCTAAAAATGATAAAATTCTGATGAAATCAAAGATCTAAATAAATGGACATTTAATGCTCATAGAATGGAATATTAAGGATAGCAAAGCTAGCAATTCTCCCTAAATTTACATAAAGGTTTAACATAGGTCCTATCAAAATCCTAATAAGATTTTTAGTAGCTATATATAAGAATATCATAAAATATATAAAGAAAGGCAAAGGAACTAAAATAGTTAAAACAATTCTAAAAAAAGACAATTTCAAGACTTATTGTATAGCTGCAGTAAGCAAGACTATGTAGTACTGGCACAGGAATCAACACCTATGTTGATGGAACAGAATAGAGAATCCAGTAATAGTGGGGCCAACTGATTTTTGACAAAGGTGCAAAAGCAATTCAATAGTGGGAGGATACTCTTTTCAACAAATGATGCTGGAAAAAATGGATATCCATAGGCAAAAGAATTAACCTCAACCTAAACATAACATCTTAAAAAATCATCTCAAAGTGGATTATAGATTTAAATGTAAAACACTTTCGGAAGACAACATAGAAAATCTGCAGAACCTAGGGCTTGGTGAAGAGTTCTCAGGCATGACACCAACAGCATGATCCATTAAAAAATAGACAAATTGGACTTCATCAAAATTAAAGTAAAACTTTTATTTAAAACTTTTATTCTCTGAAAGACCTTACTAAGATGATGAAAAGACAAGCTATAGGCTGGGAGAACATATTTGCAAACCATATATATCTCACAAAAGACTTAGATCTAGAATATATAAAGAACTTCCAGAATTCAACAGTAAAAAATAAAATCTATTAGAAAATAAGAAAAGACGTGAAGAGACATTTCACTGACTGATATACAGATGGCAAATAAGCACACAAAAAAATGTTTAACATCATTAGTCATTGGAGACATGCAAATTAAAACCACAATGAGATATTACCATACACCTATCAGGACAGCTAAAATATAGTGACAATACCAAATGATGGCCATGATACAGAGAACATCTATCACTCATATATTGCTGGTAGGAGTATAAAATGGTATAGCCACTTTGAAAAACAATTTGGCAATTTCTTAAGGACTAAACATGCAACTACCATATGACGCAGCAATGACACTTGTGAACATTTGTCCCAGTGAAATAAATACTGTGTTCACACAAAAACCTGTACAAGTGCTTTGGGAGGCAAAGGTAGGAGGATCCCTTGGGGCCAGAAGTATGAGGCTAGCCTGGGCAACATAGAGGGACCCCGCCTCTTAAAGAGAAAAACTTGTACACAATTATTCATAGAAGATTTATTTGTAAAACCAAAAACTGGAAACAACTAAAATAACCCTCAATCGATGAATGACTAAATAAACTTTCATACATCCATACCATGGAATAGTACTTAGCAATAAAAAGACTCAAACTATTGATGCATACTTGGATGGATCGCAAGGGCATTATGCTGAGTCAGAAAGGTCTAAAGGATATAATTCCATTTATAGAACATTCTCAAAATGACAAAATTACAAAGATGGAACGGATTAGTGGTTGTCAGGGGTTAGAGATGATTAGGAGTGGTATGAGTGCATAAAAAGGAGAAGTATGGGAATGATCTTTAAGGTGGAACAGTTCTGTATCTTTATTGTGGTAGTTTTTGCGCAAATGTACGCATATGATAAATGACACAAAGACATATATATGCATAGTACCAATGTCAAATTCTTGATTTTGATATTGTACTATAATTATGTAAGATAAACTAGATGAAGGGTACCTAGGACCTCTCTATATTATCTTTGCAACTTCTGGTGAATCTATAATTATTTCAAAATAAAAAGTTAGAAAAAAGTATGAGATACCATATTAGTCCGTACTCATGCTGCTATGAAGAAATACCCAAGACTGGGTAATTTATAAAGAAAAGGAGT
Source organism: Homo sapiens (assembly GCF_000001405.40). Classification (NCBI taxonomy): domain Eukaryota; kingdom Metazoa; phylum Chordata; class Mammalia; order Primates; family Hominidae; genus Homo; species Homo sapiens. Next base: position 115,965,871 of record NC_000005.10, on the reverse strand, counting down.
TTAATTGACTCACAGTTCTGCATGGCTGGGAAGGCCTCAGGAAACTTATAGTCATGGCAGGAGATGAAGGGGAAGAAAGGGGAAGAAAGGTACTTTCTTCACAGGGCAGCAAGACAGAGTGAATGCAAGCAGGGGAAATGCCAGAGGCTCATAAAACCATCAGATCTCATGAGATTCACTCACTATCAGGAGAACAGCATGGGGGAAACCACCCCCATGTTCCAATTACCTCCCACTGGGTTATGGGAACTACAATTCAAGATGAGATTTGCGTGGGGACACAACAAAACCATATGAGGTGCCAATAGTAGGCATCAGAATTATCTGAGACAATCGTCAAAACGTATAAATTTCTAAACTCCATTCTAAACTCCCTGATCTATAATTTATTTTTGCTCATTAAAAATTTTTAATTCTAGTAAAATACACATAACATAAAGTTTACCACTTTAACCATTTTTAAGTGTATAATAGTTCAGTAGTGTTAAGAACATTCACATTGTTGTCAACCTATCTCCAGAACTCTTATCACCTTACAAAACTAAAATCTATACCCATTAAGCAATAACTCCCCACTCCCCAGCTTCTGCCTTCTTCTCCTCTGGGAATCTTCTTAGACTCATATATACCAGGAACTTGGCAGGTTCTGCGTTTAGATAACAAGGAAGCTGATCATAATGATAATCCAACCTAAGGATAGCAGTTACCACTATCCAGGCTGTATGTGTCACTGTGTACTCCCTTTTTCATTTAATTCTCACAGTACTCTAATAGTTGACAGTTATTATATCTATTCCGTGAATGAGGAAACAGACTCAGAGAGGTTAAGAGACTAGCTCAATTCACACAGCTCAGGTTCAAACTCAGGCCTGCTGGGCTCCCAGAATCTGGCGTACCACAAGCCATCCTTCTGTTGCAGGTTCTTCATGACCCTGGCTTCAAGCTTAACCTTAGGTGTCTTTTCCTTGTGGTTTCAGAAGCAGAGACCCAAAGGGTAACAACTCTTCCAAAACATCACAATTTTGGAGCTCTACCTTGGTTTATGAACATCTGTAGAACTTTATTAAGATTTCTTCTTGCTTGAATTTTAATGTTCTGAAAATATGGTTTCTAGTTAACACTAGAGTTAGCAACACAATAGAAAAATTGAACGGGACTTCCCTTTCCCACATTTGCAAGCTTGACTGGGCCACAGCCCCACTGAAACAGGACCAAGGAAGAGGTAGGTGAACAGAGGAGGATTTACTGACCTACAGCAAGAAAAAAAAAAAAGTCAGATATGTAGGTGAAGTGTTTCTATTTTTTCCTCTGAAATATTTTGCACCCTGACCTACACAGTAATTTCAAAAGATTTCTTCACAAGTTGAGTAACACATCATCTAAATAAGAAAATTTCAAAACTATTTTTTCAAGCATTGATGTATTTTTTAAAGAAAAACCAAGCACGCTGCCCTTAAAAACAAAAGTTACAGATTATACATCCACTAGAGCAACTCTTTAAACTTATTTAGAAACCTTTGAAATTTTGAAAGTAGTGCAGGAGATGGTGCAGGGTGTAATTTAGTGGGATTCTTTCCCTCAGAGAACATCTGAGAACATTTTCTCTAATAATAAAGGGCAAAGTACATGCAGTTGTGTACGGCGCAAATGCTCCACCAGTGTGTGAGTGGACAAAGAGATCGCCGGTTGGAAAAAAAATAAATTTTGATATCTCCCACTTAAGCTATTTCCCTGGAGTTCGCCGGAGGACAGTATTGTGGTCTCAGAGCGTGGAAAGAGACAATTCTTGTGCAGGGGCAGGAAACATTCCGTGTAGGAGATATTATCTCAAATGAGTGTAAAAAGAACACATGTCTGCATTTCTAACAAGCGCCCAGGTTACAGCTGCTGCTGGCCCAAGGACCAACCTTTGAGGGGCAAGCGGTTTGTTGAATGGGGTGAAGAAATTTCCGGCTAGAGAGGAAAGGTGCTTTCTGAAGAGAACGATAAGCTTCAGGGGTACCAGCGACCTAAAAAGGGGCAGCAATAGAAACAAACGGGATGAGCAGATACAGGGTTGAAAACTGGCCAGAGGAAGGACCGCGGTCTCCGCCGTCTCTTTATTCGGAGCAAGGTTATAGGAAAAGGGAGAAAGGAGGCGCTCGCACTCTGTCTGGCTTTGAAAGAAAACGTCGCGGTGTGTGATGTTCCCCTTCCTGTGTCCAAGTGTTCTCATTGTTCAATTCCTACCTATGGGTGAGAACATGCGCTGTTTGGTTTTTTGTCCTTGCGATAGTTTGCATTGGGAGATATACCTAATGGGTATATTTCTTAATGGGTGCAGCACACCAATATGGCACACGTATACATATGTAACAAACCTGCACGTTGTGCACATGTACCCTAGAACTTAAAGTATAATAAAATAAATAAATAAAAAGAAAAAAGAAAACGTCGCAAGGGGATTCTTTGGAAAGGGCAGCAGACGCGCACCTGGACACGGTAGTCAGCTGGACCCGCAGCCTGCACCGGGACGCAGGGGCGGGGGCCGAGAGGGGCCCCGGGCTGTACAGCCCTTACCTGCGCTCGCCCTGGTCGGTGTAGACGTTGAGGAAGAGTCCCTCCCTGAGGTCTTCCTTCACCAGGCCCGAGAAGCTAAGCTGCAGCTCGTAGCTGCTACCAGGTTTCAGGGGCTCACTGAGCTCCAGCACCATGTATTCCGTGTCCAGCGCGAACCACACGTCGTCCACGGGCACGCGGCCCACTGTGGCGTTCCCAGTGCCCGGGGAAAGGGGTCCCCGCACCTCGGCGCGCTCGCAGTCCTGGAAGAGGCTATGCAGCAGCAGTCGAGAGGTGGCCACCGTGCAGCGCACCGTGATGTTCACGCGGCCAGTGAAGGGCAAAGACCCGGCCGGAAGCTCGTCGGGCCTCAGCTGCGGCCACAGCTCCAGATCGTAGTGCAGCGGCACGAGCCAGGGCGGCAGGCGTAGCTGGTCCCAGGGCCCCGGGGGTCGCCAGTTGCTCGGGGTGGTCGTCACCGCTAGCTCGCGTGCACTGCTGGGTTTCGGGGTTGGCGTCGGCTTCTGCCTGAGGGGAGGGGAAGACTCGGCTTCCAAGTCCCTGAGTCCAGGCAGCTCCGACGGTGGGACGCGCTCGCAGTGGCCGTACAAGGCGGCGAGTACGGCCAGCGCCAGCAGGAGGGCGGCTACCAGCCCAGCCAGCAGCAGGGCCACTGCGCGGCTCACATAGAAGCCTGAGCTGGAAGGGGGCCCCATGGCAGGGACCGGGTTCAGGCGCGAGGCTGGAGCTCAGAGACTGTGGCAGCTGTCAAAACCCCGGCCAGGGTGTTCAGTGCTGCGACCCCTGCCCCTCCTCTCTTGTATCGTGCCTCTTCCTCCTGGAAGAGCCTGGACGGACTGGAGCTCAGCAGACAGCGGTTGGGACCATGGCTTCCCCCTCCCAGCTAATCAGACACAGGTCCCAGCCTACCCACCCCCGCCCCCGGCCAGCGCCAGGGAAGAGGCGGACCTGGCTCACCCAGACGCGTACCCCTTTGGGTTCGAAGAGACAGACCCCACGGAAGATGCCTCCAGGGTTGGCGCGGGGAGGGGGTGGTCAAGCCAAACGAATCCGGACACCTTAAACGTGGATATTTGGATGAGGGGTGTGCCCCGATACGGTTTCAGGTGTTGTCGGAAAGGGGACAGGTACCAAGCACCTCTATCTCCAAGCCAGCGATGAGCTACCAGCAACACACCTGCTCCACCGCCAGCTGGGGCTTCGTGTGCTAGGGGGTGGTAAGGGCTTGAGGACCAGGATATTTGGGAATGCGTTCAGAAATGACCCTGCAGGGCGTCGGCCGCGCCGTCAGAACAAATTTCTGGAGCCAAATGTGTGGCGCTAACTTCGCTTCCTAAATAAGCCCAGGAGGCATGCGGCCCAGGCAGCGAAGGCGAAGATGGAAACAACGTCCGGAGGCCCGGAACTTTTCCAGAGCTCAGGAAGCCAGGCTGGAGGAAGAGGCGACAAAGTGCTAGGGAGCCTGGCGTCTGCGTCTCCCGGGTGAAATGGGGTTGTGGGGCAGAGCAGGGTTAGGACCGCGTTACCACAAGAAGGGGCCTGGCGGGATGGTTTTTCTTAGCTCTGCAACTGCCTGGGGCCGGGGTTTCCCTTCCTGAAGCCGGGGGAGAGGGGACACCTGCTTTCAGAACCGACTCGAATCAAGCAAAGAGAATAAAACAATTCGGCGGCCAGTGTTTCCACCCAGAAATTCCTGGGCTGGAACTGGTTTTCCCGGCGGTACCCTAGTCGCTGAGGCTTTCACATGTTTGACATGGCATCTGTTTGCTATTTAGCTGGTGCCCCTGAGCGAATTCTTGGCGTCTGCGCTGGATCTGGAGTCTGCATTCACGCACGCTGGTGAATTGGGAATGAGATTGCAAGCATCAGGAGGCACTGGGGACGGAAGGGAAGGTAGTTAGATCCCACTGCAGGCTGAAGATTTTAAACTATCCCGTCTTGAGACTCGCGCGCGTGTGTGTGTGTGTGTGTGTGTGTGTGTGTGTGTGTTACAGCGAAAATATAATAATTTTTCCATAGCAGCTATAAAACGGTGTTCGCTTTACTACTGCTTTGGCTGTATCTCACTTGCAATGAGGAAACCCTTTCGCCTGGGTTCAGAGATGGGGTAGACCACGGTGATTCTCCTGGGAAATGAGTGCTTTCTTGTTCCTTGAACTGAAGTGAATCAAATGAACACCACCACCATCACCCTCTGGAATAAGACAGGAAAGTGGAAGGAGATATATTAAGCTCACGCAGATAGTTGTGCTATAATCTGTGAACCAGTCCACATTAAGACCATATGACTTATTTTTCTGGATTTGCTTTGTTCAGAAACTTAAGGATTATATTTAAAAATAATTATGACCACATGCATCACTCTCAGAAGATCATAGATAGAGCTGAGGGAGAAGCTCTGTCTATTTCCATATACCTACCACAAGTTGTGCTGTCAGAATTTGAGCTACTGCGCTAGCAGGGGCATCTCAGTTTAGGTCATATTCAGCTTGGGATTGGGACAGCTGTGGCACTAATTAACTAATTACTGGCCTTAACAACCCGTGGGCAATTTCTTGAAGGATTTCGAAGGATTTCCAGACACTCAAGGAAAGGTAAAAATGAAAGGAAGTCAGTAACATGATTATTTCAAACATATTAAAGGTATTCCTCCCCTCAGTTAAGTACATATATGGACACTAGCATTTAATTCCATTTTTCTAATATGATTAAAGAAACAGAGATTGGCTTCCACACAAAAAGTTTCAAAGTAATAAAGTCACACCAAATGATTCAGCAATTTAAGTATCTTATTAAAGGGAAAATATTTCTGATAAATCATTAATGTCACTCCAAAGACGTTGCAAAATAACATACTGGCTGAGTCAAGATTTTAATAATAAAGAACTGGAAAAGTATTATATGAAATATTTGACATCTCAATGAAAAAGTAGTTCGGGAATATAGACCAGTTGCTAGGAAAACATTTTCTAGAGCTGCTCAGAAAATCTGCTTATTCAGAGCAATGGAAGCGGTGATTCTCAACTGGGCATAATTTTTGTGCCCTTGCCATGACCAGCACCTCATTTGACAATGTTTGGACATATTTTTGGTTGTCACAACTCAAGGAAGCAAGTACTACTGGTATTAAGTGGGTAGAGGCAAGCTGTCCTCCAACAATGCACTGGACAGCCTGCCACAACAAAGAAGTATCCTGCCACAACAAAGAAGTATCCTGCCACAACAAAGAAGTATCCTGCCAAAAATGTCATTAGTGCTGCTGTTCAGAAATCCTGAACTAAAGCAACAATCCCAGTTTTTTACATGCTACCCAGGTAGAACTTCAGCTTTGTATCTTGTGCTGCTATTTATTTTTGTTGTTTATGTTTATACTTTGGCATGTCTATTATTTTTCCATCTTAATTTCTTGGTACTTAGTATAAAACCCTATAATATTTTATTATATCTCTTAGACCACATAACTTGATTTTTCTTTTCTTTTTTGTTTACCCTGAAATTTTAATTTTTTGAGTGGGTAATTTGTTTCAAAAATCAAAACAATATGAATTTTTTTTTTTACTTTTTAATTATTATTTTTCCATAAATTATTGGGGGTACAGGTGGTATTTGGTTACATGGATAGTTCTTTGGTGGTGATTTGTGAGATCCTGGTGCACCTATCACCCAAGTGGTATACACTGCACCATATTTGTTTTATTCCTTGCTCCCTTCCACTCTTTTATGCCTCACTCCCTCCCACTCTTCCCCCCAAGTTCCCAGAGTCCATTATATCGTTCTTATGCCTTTGCATCCTCATAGCTTAGCTCCCACGTATCAGTGGGAACATACGATGTTTGGTTTTCCATTCCTGAGTTCCTTCACTAGAATAATAGCCTCCAATCTCATCCAGGTCATTCCAAATGCTGTTAGTTCATTCCTTTTTATGGCTGAGTAGTATTCCATTGTATATATACACCACAGTTTCTTTATCCACTCGTTGATTGATTGGCATTTGGGTTGCTTCCATGATTTTGCAACTGTGAATTGTGCTGCTATAAACATGTGTGTGCAAGTATCTTCAATATGAAAATTTATATGTTAAGATATCTTGCTTCCATCACTTCCATAGTTAATCATTTTAAATAGTTTTTTGTGTGTGTAACCTTCCAGTGTTTCCTCATGCAAATCAAGTGAATACAATTATATGCCCTTGTATTTCTCTCTTTTGTACAAGAAAAACAGTATACTATATTGCAGTTCCTCACCTGCATTTTCATTTAACAATATATTCTAGATATCTTTTCATATCAGTCCACAGATACATTTCACATACTTTTCTGCAGCTGTATAGTATTATATTGTATAGTTACACCATTGCAAAGACTTCCCCAGTTTGGTTATTTGCATGGATTCACCAGATTCCACAGAGTATATTCATATAGGCATTTACTTAAAGGCAAAGGATATGGTATAGCAAGAGAAAGAGAGTACAGGCGAGCACTGGAGGTCAGAGAGACATCCAATGTGCAAAGAAAGAAGAGCCTTTATTTGCACAAATGGCCATGCTGTGTCACCAGCTTGAGCTACTGATGTCTGTGAGAGAAATCTTTTCTAGAAAGACGTTATAGTGAAATGGCCCAACGGGTTCGCCTTGCCCACTGCCCAGATACAGCTAATGTATCAAGACAGGAGAACTGCTATAGAGAAAGAATTTAATTCACAGACAGCCAGCTAAATGGGAGACTAGAGTTTTATTACTCAAATCGGTCGCCTTGAACATTTGGAGACCAGGGCTTTTAAGGAGAATTTGGTGGGTAGGGATCAAGGAGTATGGAGTGCTGGATGAGTGGATCAAAGATGAAATCATAGGGGCTCAAAGTGGCTTCTTCTTGCTGTCTTCTTTTCCTGGGTGGGATTGCAAAACTGGTTAGGCCAGATTATCAGTCTGGGTGGCACCAGCTGGTATATCAGAACTCAGGGTCCAAAAAACATCTCAAGCACCAATTTTAGATGTTACAATAGTGATGTTATGCCTAGGAGCAACTGGGGAGGTTCAGAATCTTATGGCCTCTAGCTCCATGACTCCCTAAACCAGAATTTCTTGTATTATGGCTAATTTGTTAGTCTTACAAAGACAGTGTGCTCTCTAGGTAAGAAGGAGGTTTATTTCATGAGGGAGTTATTATCATCTTTGTTTCAATGTTAACCTATAAACTAAGTTTCTCTCAAAGCTAGTTTGGCCTATGCTCTGGAATAAACAAGGACAGATTGGAGGTTAGAAGCAAGATGGAGTTGGTTAGGTCAGATCGCTTTCACTGTCATAATTTTCCCACTGTTATAATTTTTGCAAAGGCAGTATCAAAAGGTGAAATTACTAGTAAGTCCAGTTGCAGTTTCAAACCCATAAGTCCAGAAGGCAGGCTGGTAACGCCATGGATTCATAATGACCAGTGACCAGCCCCTGCTGTGCCTCCAGTCCTACCACTTTTCTCTAATGTCTTGCTTTTTCACTATCTGCCACTATTTTCACACCTTCACCACCTTCCTCACTTATAATTTCCTCCTCCTTCCCCCTTGCCTCCTACTTCACAGAGCACACAGAAGTCAGTAATTGGGAACCACTTCAACTTTCCATACCAGACCTATCTTCATCCACACCCATCTTTTCTTCTCTCTGGACACAACAAATAACATGTGCTTCTTGTCCAAGGTCAGTTCACTCACTTAGGTTCTGAATCTTATTCTCTCTAATTTTCTTGGATATCTTATGCTTTTTTTCTTCTTCTTCTTTTTTGAGACGGAGTCTCTCTCTGTCACCCAGGCTAGAGTGCAGTGGCACGATCTTGGCTCACTACAACCTCTGCCTCCCTAGGTTCAAGGGATTCTTCTCCTGTCTCAGCCAGCCAAGTAGCTGAGATTACAGGCATGAGCCACCACACTCGGCTAATTTTTGTATTTTTAGTACAGACGGGGTTTCACCATGTTGGCCAGGGTGGTCTCGAACTCCTGACCTCGTGAAACATTTTCCCCCCGCCCGGCCTCCCAAAGTGCTGAGATTACAGGCATGAGCCACCTCGCCCAGCTATATTTTGCTATCTATTAATCTTACTCTTTCTCACTCTTACTCCAACTTTCTTTCCTCTCCCTCTCTGTCACACTCTCTCTTCTTGTTTAAACATGCTGACGTCTGTAGTTTTTAAAAAGATGCTTCCTTGATCTCCTATGCCTGCCCATCCATTATTCTATCTCCTGTATAGCAAAACTTCTTTAAAGAGTATGTGCTTTTGTTGTCTCTATTTTCTCCCCTGTTACTCTTCAAATTATTCCCAATGAAATTCCAACCCTATCATCTCTTAAAACTTCTCAGTCTAAGATCACTCTAATGTCCACATGTCTAAAGCCAAAGTTCCCACCTTATTTGGCCTCTGCAGCATTCATCACAGCGAATCACTCCCTTCTGTTTGACTTCTGGGACCATCTCCCCTTGGTTGATTCTCTCTTCTCTGGCCCATCTTTTCAGATACTTTCGTTTGCCTTTTCTTCTACCCAAACATTAAATATCGGAGTTCTTCAAGGCCTGGTCTTGGGTCATATTTTCTTCTGACTCTGTGCTCTTTCCCTGAGTGATGCCATCCTGTCCCATAGGTTCAGAAACCACACATATGCTGATGAATCCTGTGTTTATGTCTGCAACCTCAACCCCTGTATCCACTGGCTCCTTGGCATTGGTGTTGACTGTGTCACAGGCTCCTCGGTCTGAACTGGACTCAGTTCTTTCTCTCAACCTTTCACCCCGCAATATCTGCTGCTCTTCCAATTCCTCCAATATTTTCTTTCTTGGGAAATGGTATCTCCCTTCCCACCCCCAGTTGCTCAAGCCAGAAAGTTGGGAGTTAGCCATGTTTCCTCCCTCTTCTTCACTCCTCACATGGAATCAATTGCCAAGTTTATCAGTTTTACCTCCAAGATATCTCTTTAATATTCTCTCCCCTCAGTGCCTCAACACACTCCCCTGCCACGCTAACATCACCCCTGACTTCGTGCCCTGCAGAAGCCTCTTAACTTTTCTCCTGATATAGGATTGCTAATTTCGAGGCCCATCTTATCAACAGGACTGTTTACTCCATGAAGGCAAAGATAAGGGCTGTCCTATTCATCACTTTATTTACTGTTCCTGTTACACTGCTTGGCATAGTATATGCCTAATTAGTCTTTTATAAAATTTGGGAAAGAATATAAGATTCCTGAATTCCAATTAACTACGATTTCACTTTAAGCGAACACATCTTTTACTTAGCCCCAAATCCAAAAGCAAGAAAAAAATCTTCCCAATAATGAGAGCAAAAGATGTCACAAATTTATGTACTTTGCATTACTGCAGTCCTATGAAGATATCTTCAGAACCTTGGAGCACAGGAGGGATATGGATGGGGAAATCATGTTGCTTGCTCCTATCACACAGCTGTTTGGTGGAAGAGTAGTATCTAGAACTCCAGGCTTCCCGCTCCCATTCCAGTCCCTTTTTCCCTCATTGTCACAGATAGGACCTATTAATGCAGCAATATACACAAAATTAATCTTACTGTCCTAAGAACTTTATTTAGCTTCCCCTGGAAATCCTGGAATTCTGCCTAGGTTATAACTATCATTCACCAGGAGCAGCAGGCTATAAACAGGTAGAAGTGGGAGTAGAAACTAGCACACTGAGTAGTAATGAGGTTACCCTGAGTTGTCCAGGACAAAATCAACAGAGGTATTTGGTTATATTCTGCCTACCCTGTTTTAGGAGAATGAAAAATGTAAGATTTTCTCACAGAAATAGTTAACATAAAAAATTGGAGGTGGGGTAGGGTTCTTGCCTACAAAATTTATTTAGGTAGAGCAGTTCATTTTTCCTGGGAATACCTGATAAACTACAAGTTATTGTTTAATGGAAAAAGTTACAAATTCAATGAACAAGTTTTGACAGTCCACTTTCTCCTCTTTGTTCCAACTCTATTTATTACCATGGAAGTTATATCTACTAGCATAGATTCAGCTTCAAGAATGTTATTACTAAGGCCAAGAATCACTTTCAAAAACTAGAGGACTGGAGAAGATAAGATTAATGCATATAATTAAAATGTTTAAATCCAAATTAAATCTATCTTCGAAGATAAAATCAAAAGGTCTATGATTTCCCGTGCTTTTTGGCTGTGATTATGTAATCCATTTTCCAATTATTATCCAATGGCTTTATAACTCATAAGGCTGATTGTTGATTTATATCACGGGTTATTAAAGCATGTATATTTATATATATACCCATATATATATATGGCTAATTTTACCCCACTGTTTTTATTTTCAGCACAACACCACTGCTTCATACATTTTTTTTCTTCCTAGGACTCAGGTTAGCTTTTCTAAGTGTTCACACAGGCTTGAATTAGCAAGAATTATAATTGTTACAACTATATTGAGGTCATAAAGTCCCTACAAACTAGGCAGCTCCACTTTACTTGATCTACTTAGTCTGCAGTTCTGCTCGAAAGGTGCAATTGCATCAATTGCTACATAAGAGATGTTTGGACACTTCTATAGTGCCATGAACATTATAAACTAGAAAAATATGTTCTTAAAAATGTTCTTTGTTACAGAAGCGTTTCTACCTAATCTTTTAACTTTCTTCCTTTCTTTGCAGAAGAAATGCTAAATCTATCGTGCCCACTTCATTAATCATGGAAAAAGAGGCTGGTGATCAGCTTGACAAATTGTAACCAATGTGCTGGTTCTACCAATGTATGTAGCAGAAGAGCATATATATTGCTATCTCATGTGGAGCTCTTATGTGCCACTCACTCTAGCAAGCACTTTAATGTATATGCATTTCATTTACTCCTTAAAACAGTTCTACAGGCCTTTGTTTTTATCTCCATTGAACAAGAATGGAAACTGGGGCTCAATGAGCTTCAGCAATTTGCTTAAAAATACAGAGCTGATAACAGGCAGAGTCAGCATTTAAACCCAGGTCTCTGAGCCCTGCCTGAAGTCCATGCTACTTCCATCACTCAGCATGTGTGATGTTTAGAATCTTTCTGTTTATTCACTAATCTTAAGAATCTTTCTGTTTATTCACTAATGTTTGAAAATGGCATTTAAATGAAGCAAAAAGAAACATTTAAAATGTGCAGAATATATTTATTAAAAAAGAAAGGAAATTTTTCGATATCTTCAAGTTTCATTATTCTTATTGACCTTCTTTGACTGGCTTCCTTTTTCCTTGAAGTTACCTGATTCCAGGCTCTGCCTCAGCCAATCTCCATCTCCAGTTACACTATCAGTTCCACTTTCTCATAACGGCAGCATTCTATATTGGTTTTGTATCACACAGTTAATCTGATGGAGCAGTTTAAAGCATTCTATATTACCAAAGGGGTTATGAAACACAAATGTTGTATCCCATGGCCTTAATAAGAGGGACATAAATCCCTAAAACACCAAAGCCTGAAGAATAAATAGTAGCAGCTGGGGAAATGTAAAAGGAAAAGTTAGATTTTGCATGTTTTCCATGGAAGTTTTAAAAAATCACCTCAGTTAGACAACTCATGCACTTTGTGGAAACATTACAATGTTATTACTGACATCATCTGTGCTGGCCTGTGCCACCTTGCTTAATTCCACCTAGGACTAGCCAGCTAGCCTGGCATCACTCATTCCAACAGGGCCACTCCCCTTCATTTATTAGTATGTTTACCAATAGTCACTTGGGGAACTGTTTCTCCTTCAATCCCTCCAGGGTTCAACATTAAAGTTATGAAGACAGAAGCAGCTAGTTCAGCTGGGTCATCATAAAAGTCCAGGAGAAGCAAGACGAAAAGAAAGAAAATTAAATGACGAAACAAAGGAGGAAAACCTCCCAGCAGAGAGATGCTGGTGAAAAGCAGTTTGCTACACTGGCCAATGATGTAGCTTGGGGAAAATTTTGCCGCAAGTATTTGCTAAGTACTGAATTTAATTAAAGTAGCCTTGTTGACCAAAACCACAATCCACTATTAAATGTTTGTGTGAAAAGCACTGGAAATGAGATCTGTATTTTCTAATAACCATGACAAGCTTTTTAAAAAAGAAACAATAAAAGCATTCATGGGAAAAGGGTACCTGCTGCCATATTTGCCACCGTGAGTTCCCTCTACTTGCTCCGACAAAGCAACTTACTTCAATTATAATTGGAATTTCATTTGGTTTTCTTTAGACACAATTATCTATTCCAAAATATTTGTTATATATATGCCAGATTCTGGGCTAGGGAAGTTGAGACATGTACACAAATAATTATAATACATGATGAAATGCAATTGTGATCAGAAGACTGTGAGCTATATTCAATACCAAGAATATAACTCTCGGTATTGAATTACAATACCAAGAAGTACGAGGCACTCTCTAGAAAGGAACCTTCACTGGCTGTCAGACAGATGCCAGGGGAGGCCTCACTGCATAATAGCTAAGCGCGTAGACCTGGGAACTGGGCAAACCTGGATTCAACCTGTCTGCCATTAATCAGTTGTGTTGTCTGGGACAGGTTTATTGCCTTCTCAAAGATATAATTGCCTCATTCATAAAAGGGAGACAAAATGCTGCTTACTTCACAGGGTGCTTATGAAGATTAACTAAAATAATCTAGATGGTGCCTTGTCCACAGCAGTGCTAAAGAAATAGTCCTACTAGTATTACTGAGCTTGATGTATCTGTTAGGATTATCTGGTTTAATCAATAGAGACTGACTTTGGCTAATATAAGCAAACAAACAAATAAAAAGGAATTGATTGGTACTGTCAACCAAATAACAGAGAGGGGCTTTCTAATAGAAAAGATATTTATTTGGGAATAGAGCGTTGTAATGGGAATATGCATGCCATAAGAAACCATGTGCATATTTAGGAAGGTAAAGGAAGACAAAGATTTTTAAAGGAAAAAATGAGAAGGATTACACAATTGTTTTAAAATAATTATCCTTGTCTACGAAGATCAATAACAAGGGTGATGCCAGTCTGAGGTTGGACAGGCAGTTGCTGGGCAGATGTCCTTGTAGATATATATAAAATTAATGGGGAGTCTCTTTGGGAGACCAATGTCACCACTTTTCAATCCTGTATCACTTGTCTCAGATTTACAATCCGGGGAAAAAGTACAAGATTGGCCTACACCTTTAACACATGATTGGCTCTATCCACCCCTTGGACATGGAAAGGAAGGGGCAAAAAGTCAGAGAAATCTTCTTGAATGCTGTGGTGTTTTCTGATCAAGGGAAACAGAAAACGGGACATTCATGGTTGAGGAGTCTAATGCTGAAGAGGCAAAAGTAAACAGGCAGCATCACTGCAAAAGTGAGCAGGAAAAAGTGAGGAGGGTGAGCGCCATCTGGAAGATTCGTCAGGGAGGAGGATCTGTGCTGAGTAGGATGAGTGGGGGCAAATTTTCCAGGGGTACCTGGAAAGCTAACAAGAGTTGTTCAGTGATGGAGTGATAACAAGTTAGAAGCCACTGGAGAGATCTGAGGAAGACTAAATGGAGATGAAAATATATTTCTCATATAGAGTTTGGCAGGGCTGCAACATGACCTGGAAAGGGGAAAAATAAAAAGCAGATTTGACTTCAGAATTCTGTGTGAGATGATGAAGAGCTAGACTGAGGTAACGACATCAGGAAAGGAGAAAACTGTCTAGGTAAGAGAGATGTTGCCTTTTTTCAGAGGAAAATAATTTTGTAAAAGGCAACAGCATAGACAGAATCAAAATATCAAACAATAACAAGTGTTGAAGAAGATGTGGAGAAATTGGAACTCTCATACACTATTCATGGGAATGTAAAATGGTGCAGCTGCCTTGGAAAACAGGTAGTTCCTCAAATGATTAAACTTAGAGTTACTATATGATCCAGCAATGCCACCCCTAGGTATATGCGCAAGAAAAATAAAAACATATATCCACACACAAATTTGTACACTAGTGTTTATGGCAGCATTATTTATGATAGCCAAAAATTGGAAACAACCCAAATGTCCATCAACTGATGCATGAATAGACAAAATGTGGTGTATCTATACAATGGAATATTATTTGGCCATAGAAAGAAATGAGTACTGATATGTTCTATAACATGGACGAACCTCAAAAACATTAGGCCAAGTGAAAGAGGCCAGTTATGAAACACCACACATTGCATAATTACATTCATATGAAAATTCAGAATAGGCAAATTATAGATACAGCACATAGGTTAGTTGTTGCTTAGGCTGGGATATAGGGGACAGGAGAGCATAGAGCTAAAAATATGGAGGTTTTTTTTTGAGGTGATGAAAATGTTGTAAAATTAACTATGGTGATGATCGCACCTATCTGTGATTATACTAAAAACTGTTAAACTGTATAACTTAAATGGGGGAGTTGTAGGATACATAAATTATATCTCAATAAAGTTTTTTTTTTTTTTTTAAGTCAACAGGGCTGTGCGCAGTGGCTTACATCTGTAATCCCAGCACTTTGGGAAGCCGAGGCAGGAGAATCTCTTCAGCCCAGGAGTTTGAGACCAGCATGGGCAACATAATGAGACACTGTCTCTGCAAAACATTTAAAAATTAGCTGGGCATGGTGGCATGTGCCTGTAATCTCAGCTTCTTGGGAGGCTGAGGTGGGAGGATCTCTTGAGCTGTGATTACTGTGATTACAGTGAGCTGTGATTACTGTGATTACAGTGAGCTGTAATCACACCACTGCATTCCAACATGGATGGGAGCAAGACTCTGTCTCAAAAAAAAAAAAAAAAAAAAAGTTAACAAGGTGTGGCAGTTTGGTGCAATGGGAAATGAAGTAAAGGAATGGGTCCAAGATATTTCCAAGGCAACCTATTTGGGCCAGTGGGAGAAGGCAGCTTTAAACGTGTTGTCTCTTTAGTGACAGTGAAGGAGACACATGTTTAATGAAGTGATCAGAAAACAGTGATGTGAGACTGCTCTTCCCACAGAAGGCCAGGTGGGGTCCCTGCTTCTTGGGGACCTGGGCTTATTTTAGAATGACAGAACACATCAGGGACCAGATTTCAGAGGCTGCTACAACTCCACAGAAATTTAGAAGTAGAAGGAAAGTTTCCACTTTCCTCAGAGGGCTAAATGGCAGTTTATTTATAATATGATGTTTTTGTTGCTGCAGGACTTTCTTGGCTTCTGTCTGTTGAATGCAGGTCCCGGCTGGCTCACCTCAATATCTGCATTCCCACCGAGTTAACTCCCTGTGTTGCACATAAGTTCTGCTCAATAATTCTTGTAGTAATTTCAAATGTAGATTTTCACTTTTACTATTTTACCAAATGTTTGAAACACAAAGATAGTTGTACCATCAGCTCATGCCTACCCAGCCCCATCAGCATTGCCCTACAACTCTGCACAGACATTTAGCTTGCTTTTTTGTGACTTTGCACGATCTGTATAATTGTTCTTGTTAATTCTAAGACATTTATATTTGTGGAACAATATCACACATATTGGATGACTTCATCCTGTGTGTTTGCGGCATTTCTGGCCTTCTTCTATCTGGTTTTCCTTCTTTGTGACAAAATTCCAAGGGAAACCAATAATTAATGGTGCCTAAAGAGAAAAGGCGGGAAGCCCCACTTGGTGATCTGAAGATGCTTGTTAAATCAGGTCATTGACCAATCTCTACATATTGTGTAAATTTTGGAAACACACATCTATGTCATATTGGGTCCGACATAAGGAGTGCTATAATGATTTTTCCTACTATAGTTGTGCTCCTTAATCAAAAAAATCACCTCTCTCTCTATTGAGGAATCAAGTAAATCTGCACAGTAATGAATGTTTCAAGGTCTGAACCTGGCACTTGATAAACATTGTCTTATTTAATTCTCAAAGATAAGGAAACAGTCTCAGAAAAGCAAAAGAACTTGTCCAAGGTCACTTAGCCAGGATTTGAAACCAGATCTTCCTGTTTACAAAGACTTGACTAAATCTGAAAAGGCTACATACTCTCATTCCAATTTGATGACATCCTGGAAAGGGCAAAACCATGGAGACAGTAAAAAGATCAGTGGTTTCTAGGGGATGTGGGGAGGGACAGATGAATAGGTGGAGCACAGAAAAATTTTAGGGCAGTGAAACAACTCTGTATGATACTATATTGGTGGACACACAGCATTATACGTTTGTCCAAACCCATGGAACAGACCATACCAAGTGTGAACCCTGATATAAACTATGAACTTTGGATGATCGTGGTGTGTCAATGTTAGGTTCATAATGATAGAAGCTACAAATGGAGGTAGGGGGTATATGAGAAATCTCCATACCTTCCACTCAACTTTGCTATGAACTTAAAATTGTTCCAAAAAATGAAATCTATTTAAAAAAAAAAAAAAAGACTAGGCTGGTAGCTGATCTGTTACAAAGGCTTCAACTGCTTAATACTCCCATTAGTGTTATATCCTACAATTATGAACCACTTATTTACAAGTGTTAAATGCATTTGAGTGATGGGCCATCACTTAATAATGCCCTTGAATGGTGGCAGTCTCCAATCCATGCTAGGAGATGGCTGTGCAACAGTTCTCACAGCTGGGGAGTGGCCGCAACAGAACCAAATATAGTAACTCCCTGCCACCCAAGGAGGAAGAATCCTAAAAGCAGGCCTGGTTTTCTGTCTCACTTTTCCAATACTTAAAAATTGACCATCTCCAAACTCAATATTGCCAAATAATTCACTCACTTCCTTCATTTTGAAAATCATGCTCATTTAAGAGGAAATATAATCCATATACTTCTGGTTCCATTATACTTAGATCATCAGCAATATGTTCTTTTGCAATAGGTGTCCAAATATCTTTTGCAATAGATGTCCAAATGTCTCTGGAGACTTTTTTTTTCCACGAGGGCAGGAAGCTGCATTTGGACAAGAGTAATCACCAAAGTTCACACTTGAAAATTCAAACCCATAAGGTTTAAATTGCAAACTTGCCCAATCCTTAAACCGAAAAGACTCCAAAAAGCAATAATAACAAGGAGCTGGCAAGTATTCATACATGACAGCTGGAAAAGGGGGTGGGGTGGAATGAGAGAAGAGGACAATGACTGATGTGAACACCATGGGGAAGCCAGGCTCTGCAGGGTCCTTTGTCGAATCCAGGAGGCATGGTGTCCTTGGAGTCCTGATGTCCTTGTTGTGGAGTCAGCAGGGGCAGAAGCAGCCAGAAGAATACACCAGGCTCCATGAGGGAATTCATGTTGGAAACAGAGCTAGGACTTAGATCCATATTTTATATAACACTGAATATCTGCAGCTGGGCCCTGAGGCTCTTATTTGTTCAGATGTCATATATAAAGGTCTCTACTTTTGCTAGCCTGTGACAGAATTTCAATCTGGAATATTGATAAAAGAGTATGAAAAGCTGATTTTTCATAGTCAGTGGATTAAACAGTAACTCTTTTGATGATACCTATATAATGTAGTAACTTACTGTGTTTATTTTTATCCTGATTTAGAAAAGATTGAGTATTTGCTCAGTTACAATAAACATCATCAAATGGAAATAAAATTTTATTAGCTTGAAAAAAACAAGAGTAAATAAATTGTTCTTAAAATCATTGACATGTAAATATATCCTATTGTTAATTGCAGATAATAAAGAGTAAAGACTAAGTATGTATGAAATCCGACCAAGTGGGCATTCTCCTGGAGAAAAGTTAAAATTAGATGAGTCCTAGTTAAAAGAATCATGTTAAAGCATTAGTTGTAGAAGCAATAATAAAAATATGCATGATGGGGTTCTGCTGTGACATCATGAGCCTCACAGAGACACAGGCAACATAGGCAAACATGAAATTATTGTGGCATAGACAAATTCCACATGGGGCGGTATGCCTCTGAGTCTTATATTACTCACATATATTGTTTTGTAAAGTGCTACTCCTGGCCTCTTTACCAAGGAAAGATGTAAGGTGAGGAAGAGGGAGTTGGGGTGCACAAAGAAGAGAAAGCTCAAGGAGGCTCTAGGAACCAAGGAAGGCAGGAAGAGAAAAGATATTTAATGCAGCTTGAATGGTGTTTATCCATTTTGTTGCTTCATCACTTTGAACCTGTGGTCCTCAAGTACATTGGAATAGGAGAAGAGAGATTGTGGAGGAAGCCCACACTCTTAAGTTCCTCAGCCCAGAGGTGCCATACATGACTTCTGCTCATAGTCTGTGGGCCAGAACTAGTCACATGTCCCATCTTAACTGCAAAGGAGACTGGGAAATGTAGACAAGCTCATGGACAATTGGTGATCCCTGGCTGGTTCTGCCATAAGCACCTACCTATCTGTGCCTGTACTTTGACTTTCTTTAGGCCTCCTTGGTGTCATTTCCTGCTAATTCATTGAATTAGGTCTGGTATGTCTCAACAGTTCCCAACTCCACAAAATGAGTCAACAATTGAGGGAGGTCATGGAAGGACTGCAGTACTAGAAGTCCACCACACAATACACACCACCTCAGGCTTGAGCTGTAATGACGTGGAGCAAACAGAGAGCTTCCTCTCAGTGTCTCTGCATCATTTACATCGTCTCTGGATCAGGTAACATGGAAATTGAGAAAAATGGTTCCAACAGATGCTCAATTCTCAATCACCTTTTCCATTTTCCTTTAAAGAAGGATATATTCTTTTTACTGGAAGAGAAGCCTGGCAAAGAGATTTCAGGTACGACTTAATGGAAGGAAAAATAAACCCCCTGAGGATGATGTGCAGGAATGTGTGGATGCAGGAGTACATAAGCATGTGCCACATATTCTGTATGCCTCATTCATGCAAGAAGTTGGGCTGCAATGCTGCACAAGGTATATGCCTATGATGCTACCTCACATTGTCCAATGTTGTGAGCAAACAGAATTAGAGATCAGCAAGAAAATTATCCCATCACTGCCTGTCACCTCAGCCTGTACCGCGAAAACTCCCTACTGCTACTGTAATGCCAGGCGGGGCCACCCTGAAAGAGCAGAGAGTGGGCCGGAAACAAGGACAATGAGGCTCTGTGCTTTCTATCTGGCCTAACAAACATGGAAGCCAAGAGCAGTGGCAAGTAACCCAGAGTGGAAGTCTGAAGGCTCAGGAATTCTGCTACCACCAAATGATGACCTTAAAGCTATCTATATGTACTGGCCTTTGAATATATCCAGGTTTTGTACATAAATGAGGTCACATGTATGGTAATGCCCCAAAGATACCACTTTGCCCACTTACTAGCAGAAATTCCAGTGTTTTCTGTCCAGGGGTTCTGTGGCCCTAGATATCTTCCTAGTGATGTTGTCAACATGAATTAGAAATTTACTGTCATCAGGCCAGATGTGCTGGCTCACGCCTGTAATCCCAGCACTTTGGGAGCCCATAGTGGGTGGATCATGTGGTCAGGAGATGGAGACCATCCTAGCTAACATGATGAAACCCCGTCTCTACTAAAAAATACAAAAAATTAGCCAGGGGTGGTGGTGGGTGCCTGTAGTCCCAGCTACTCGGGAGGCTGAGGCAGGAGAATGGCTTGAACCCGGGAGGCAGAGCTTGCAGTGAGCTGAGATCGCACCACTGCACTCCAGCCTGGGCGACAGAGCCAGACTCCCTCTCAAAAAAAAAAGAAAAAAGAAATTTACTGCCATCACTAACACTACTCCTTCTAAAATGATTCTGGAATAGGCTCCTTGAGGCTAGTGAGGGCCAGGGTTAGGTGCAGAAGTTGTACATTCTTGAACGGCCCAACTTTTCCAATTTATTATACATATTTGATAAATGCAGGGCATGCAGTACAGTAAGCTAAATGTTGTAGGATTGGTTCTCCAGAAACAGATGCTGAGATGGAGTTTGGGTTGCAAGATGTTTATTAGGGATCAATACCTATGACGGGAGGGGGTTAAAGCAGGATTAGGTAGAGGGAGAAGTCAACAGCAATGTAGGTCAACCCAGCAGGGAGCTCTAGAGTGGGTATGGTCCTTCAGAGTTGTCCCAAAACAAATATCCAGGGCTTTATATTCCTGAAACAAATGGCCAGGCCTTGTTCAGTCACCAGATGCACAGTGCCCAGGATGGGCATGACTTTGGGCAAAGTGAGTCTCTGCAGCTGAGGCAAAACTAGAAGAAGCTAACAGCTGTAGACTGTTTCTGATTGCACTATCACTGCTTGTCAGCAAATCCTTCCTTGAAGGGGGATCTCAACGGTTCATACCTGTGTCTACCACACTGACGGGTTAGTCCACACCAAGGAGGGAGGAATGCCTCTTTATTCCTCGTCCCATTCAAGTCTTTTAATCTCATCTCTTGAAAAGGAAGTCAGAATTGCAGACATGAGCGCCTTTACAAGTTAGGCAGCAAGACTGAGCTTGCCACTAACGTTTATCCATCCATCCAGCAAGTAAGGATTTATGGAGCATCTATTCTGTGCCAGGCACTGTGTTAAGTGCTGGAGATTGAGACATTAATAATTGACCTCAAGGGCTACAGCCAGCTGAGCAGATACCTCATGGATGGGCTTCCCAGTCACATGGATTCCTTTTACTGTGGGAATAGCTTTGATGCACAGTGGGGCCCTTTCATCAAACGCAATTGATCCAGTGTTGACACTCAACCCAAGCTGATGCAATCCAATTTCCTACTCTGGAATGTGTAAATTGTAGTGGAAACACTTGTGAATGGGGGGTATCGAAGCAGAGAGGCATTAATGGCGGGGCCCTGGAGAGAAGGTTCATGCACACCACATATCATTGTTTCAATATCAAAACACTGAAAATAACTCACATACCCATTAATGGAAGATTAAGTAACTGGTCATGCAGCCATATAGTAGAATATATATAGACACTAAAATTATAATGATAAGCTCTATTTATTTGCGTGGTATATATCCATAACATGTTATTTAAAAAAGCAGCATTTAAATATGTTAAAATGGAAAGATTCAATGCATATAAAATATCTGCTTATCACTGGAGTATAGAAATTAAGCCTGTGTTTCACTTTCTTCTTAAAATATTTTCTCATCCTCTGGATCTTCTGCAACAAAAATATGAGGCCAGCATCATCCTGATACCAAAGCCTGGCAGAGACACAACAAAAAAACAGAGAACTTTAGACCAATATCCCTGATGAACGTCGATGCAAAAATCCTCAATAAAATACTGGCAAATCGAATCCAGCAGCACATCAAAAAGCTTATCCACCATGATCAGGTTGGCTTCATCCCTGGGATGCAAAGCTGGTTCAACATACGCAAATCAATAAATGTAATCCATCACATAAACAGAACCAAAGACAAAAACCACATGATTATCTCAATATATGCAAAAGGCCTTCGACAACATTCAATAGTGTTTCATGCTAAAAACTCTAAATAAACTAGGTATTGATGGAATGTATCTCAAAATAAGAAGAGCTATTTATGACAAACCCACAGCCAATATCATACTGAATGGGCAAAAACTGGAAGCATTCCCTTTGAAAACTGGCACAAGACAGGGATGCCCTCTCTCACCACTCCTATTCAACATAGCTTTGGAAGCTCTGGCCAGGGCAATCAGGCAGGAGAAAGAAATAAAGGGTATTCAATTAGGAAAAGAGGAAGTCAAATTGTACCTGTTTGCAGATGACATGATTGTATATCTAGAAAACCCCATTGTCTCAGCCCAAAATCTCCTTAAGCTGATAAGCAACTTCAGCAAAGTCTCAGGATACAAAATCAATGTACAGAAATCACAAGCATTCCTATACACCAATAACAGACAAACAGAGATCCAAATCATGAGTGAACACCTATTCACAATTGCTACAAAGAGAATAAAATACCTAGGAATCCAACTTACAAGGGATGTGAAGGACCTCTTCAAGGAGAACTATAAACCCTGCTCAATGAAATAAAAGAGGACACAAACACATGGAAGAACATTCCATGCTCATGGATAGGAAGAATCAATATCGTGAAAATGGTCATACTGTCCAACGTAATTTATAGAGTCAATGCCATCCCCATCAAGCTACCATGACTTTCTTCACAGAATTGGAAAAAACTACTTTAAAGTTCATATGGAATCAAAACAGAGCTCGCATTGCCAAGACAATCCTAAGCCAAAAGAACGAAGCTGGAGACATCATGCTACCTGACTTCAAACTATACTACAAGGCTACAGTAACCAAAACAGCATGGTACTGGTACCATACAGATATGTACACCAATGGAACAGAACAGAGGCCTCAGAAATAACACCACACATCTACAACCATCTGATCTTTGACAAACCTGACAAAAACAAGAAATGGGGAAAGGATTCCCTATTTAATAAATGGTGTTGGGAAAACTGGCTAGCCATATGTAGAAAGCTAAAACTGGTTCCCTTCCTTACACCTTGTACAAAAATTAATTCAAGATGGATTAAAGACTTAAATGTCAGACCTCAAACCATAAAAACCCTAGAAGAAAACCTAAGCAATACCATTCAGGACATAGGCATGGGCAAGGACTTCATGAATAAAACACCAAAAGCAATGGCAACAAAAGCCAAAATAGACAAATGGGATCTAATGAAACTAAAGAGCTTCTGCACAGCAAAAGAAACTACCATCAGAGTGAACAGGCAACCTACAGAATGGAAGAAAATTTTTGCAATCTACCCATGTGACAACGGGCTAATATCCAGAATCTACAAAGAACTTAAACAAATTTACAAGAAAAAAATCAAACAACCCTATCAAAAAGTGGGCAAAGGATATGAACAGACACTTTTCAAAAGAATACCTTTATGCAGGCAACAGACACATGAAAAAATGCTCATCATCACTGGTCAGCAGAGAACAGCAAATCAAAACCACAATGAGATACCATCTCAGGCCACTTAGAATGGCGATCATTAAAAAGTCAGGAAACAACTGATGCTGGAGAGGATGTGGAGAAATAGGAACACTTTTACACTGTTGGTGGGACTGTAAACTAGTTCAACCATTATGGAAGATAGTGTGGTGATTCCTCAAGGATCTAGAACTAGAAATATCATTTTATCCAGCCATCCCATTACTGGGTATGTACCCAAAGGATTATAAATCATGCTACCATAAAGACACATGCACAGGTATGTTTATTGCGGCACTATTCGCAATAGCAAAGGCTTGGAACCAACCCAAATGTCCATCAGTGATAGACTGGATTATGAAAATGTGGCATATATCCACCATGGAATACTATGCAGCCATAAAAAAGGATGAGTTCATGTCCTTTGTAGGGACATGGATGAAGCTGGAAACCATAATTCTGAGCCAACTATCACAAGGACAGAAAACCAAACACTGCATGTTCTCACTCACAGGTGGGAACTGAACAAAGAGAACACTTGGACACAGGGCAGGGAACATCACACACTGGGGCCCGTTGTGGGGTGGGGGAATGGGGGAGGGATAGCATTAGGAGAAATACCTAACGTAAATGACAAATTAATGGGTGCAGCAAACCAACATGGCACAGGTATACATATGTAACAAACCTGCAGGTTGTGCACATGTACCCTAGAACTTAAAGTGTAATAAAAAGAAAAAAAAAGAAATTGAAACTTAAGTACAATATGATTCATATAGGTTGCTATTATTATTATCATTATTATTTTAAGTATGAGCTCAGATGACTCAACCTGAAGTAAAGATTCCTAGCAGCTCAGGAGCTCTGCTATGAGAGGAGTGTCCATGAAACGCTCGGGCCGACAGTTCACATCTTCTCCTTCTGCCCTTCCTCCCCCTGCCCCAGTGTGCAAGTTGCTCAGAACGCTCAGCTGTGAGCATCTCTCAGCTGTGAGCCGATTCTTCCTAAAATAACTAGAACAGTCCCCTATGTTTTCCACATGGGATATCAGTGCTCTTCTCACATTTTTTTAAGCCTCGATCTTGATATTTTAATTCATTTTCCATTTCATTTCTGTAAGACTTTCCTGGTTGTGAAATGTTAGTGTGGTCAGTTCATGTTTCATTAACTTCCCCTCAAGCCTATGGAGATTTCTAGTTTGCTAAGGACATGTAGATATGGCCAGGCCCACAAATGTTGACTGTACACTGACTCTAACAAAATTCAAGGGGAATTTCCAATGTGGTGAGAAAGGCATGTCCTACTGACAGGAAGAGGGAGGGAAAGGGTGAAGCTGAAACATAAGCAACTTCCTAGGAGCGGCAGTGTCTAAGGAATGCATTAAGGAAGAGGGACTGCCAGCTGGGCGCGGTGGCTTATGCCTGTAATCCCAGCACTTTGGGAGGCTGAGGCGGGTGGATCACGAAGTCAGGGGTTCGAGACCAGCCCGACCAACATGGTGAAACCCCGTCTCTACTAAAAATACAAAAATTAGCTGGGCGTGGTGGCGGGCGCCTGTAATCCCAGCTACTCAGGAGGCTGAGGCAGGAGAATTGCTCGAACCCGGGAGGCGGAGGTTGCAGTCAGCCGAGATCGCGCCACTGCACTCCAGCCTGGGCGACAGAGCGAGACTCCGTCTCAAAAAAAAAAAAAGAAAGAAAGAAAGAGGGACTGCCAAGAACATGGTGCACTTGTTAGTCCCATAAGAGCAGAGCACAGCCTCAGCATTGTTACCTCTGGATAAGAACATGCATGAATTCAGAGACCAGGAAGTTCCAGTCTCTTCAAGGATTAAGTCAGAGAATCTTAAGGGATAAGAGTCTGGCCATACAGTTCCAGGAAGAAGCTCCAACATCTGTTCCATCTGTGTCTGGGCCCAGATTGGGACACCATGAAGCCAACTGGCAAAATGTATTATTTCCCCTGGCCAGAAACATAGCATCTTTAGAAATGTAAATTCTCCTTGACTTTTCTCCCTATTCCATATGTTGTTTTCATTATTGGGTTTTGTTTTTCTTCTTATCAGATTTTCTTCCTAACTACTTCAAACCTTGACCTTGGACACACCTCAAAAAGAAAAATGCTGCCACCACCGATTCTGTGAGCCTGGAAGACGGTAGCTTTGGGAGGCAGGACGAATAAAGTTTTCTTCAAGGTCATATATTACTTCATAGTGGAGCTGGGGTTCTGCAATCCCTGTGGTGCCTAACACAGAGCTTTGTACACAGGAGACATTACAGAAATGTGTATTTGCTAATTGTAGGTGAATTCCTGAAAGTTGTGTGTGAATTCCATTTTTATAAATTGAATAATACTTTTAAAACATATGGGGGGCATGTTTAAAAGAATACTGCATTGGATCATTTTGTAAAATGAATATCTACCTCAATTTATCTATTTTGCCAGCAGAATTAGGTTTATCAGTTTTCCTAAAAACTGAGCTGAAGGATGTGTGCAGTGGCTCATGCCTGTAATCCTAGCATTTTGGGAGTCTGAGGTGGGTGGATCTCTTGAGGCCAGGAGTTCAAGACCAGCCTGGCCAACATGGTGAAACCACATCTCTACTAAAAATACAAAAATTAGCCAGGTGTGGCGGTGCACGACTGTAATCCCAGCTATTGAGGTGGCTGAGGCAAAAGAATCCCTTGAACCCTGGAGGCAGAAGTTGCAGTAAGCTGCGATTGCTCCTCTGTACTCCGGCCTGGGTGACAGAGGGAGACTGTCTCAAAAAACAAAAACAAAAAGTGAGTATGAAAATCCTTTGTTCCTCATCTGCAACATGAAGGGCTTAGACTCTTGGATTGATCTTGATTATTTCTACCAGTACTAAAATTCTGCAGTTTAAAAATCTAACTCCAATTAACACAAAATTTTGAAAGGTGAGAGATCTGGCCACCTTTGCTGCTTTGAGGTGTAGGAGAAGACAAATAAATTTTTCTTCAACCCTCATAGGTTCTTAGTTAGAACAGCTCCCTGTAACAAAAGGCAGATTAACAAGAGAAAAACAAGCAGATGTTTATTTATATATATATTTCATATATACATGGGAGACTCCCAGGGAACGAGTAGTTTTCAAAAAGGTGGCTTTGAATTCCAGCTAAATAGCATCGTCAACAAAGAATAGTACATTTTTAAGTAGTGACAAGACAAAGTGAAAGGATTTTAAGCCTCCAGGGGTGGCAATGCCTGGAAGGCAAATGAATGGCAGATAAAGGCCAGTTAGTAAAGCTCATCCATATTCGGGTTCATAAGGTTCTAAAACCGTCTCCAGTGCTTAACATTTATTCTCCCTGGTAGAGAAGCAGGCAGGATATCTTTTGTCTTTGTGAGTCTATATCCTGCTTTTAGGCAAATAGAGGAAGAGCAAAGAGCTTTCCTGAATCTGCTTCTTCTTCATTGCCTTCAGCTCAATCCTTCATATTTTAGGGTGAGATATTCTGGTTTTCCACAAAGGGATAGGGAGAAAAGGCAGTGACTCTTCTCAAGATTTGTATTCTTTCCATTTATTCATAACAAACTCCTTATTGCAATTATATTATCCTGAAACAACAATTATTTGTATCAAGTCAGAACCACCTCTGATATTAGGCAGAGTTCTACTGTGAAGTCAGTAGTGTATTGTTCGTTTTAGATATGTTTAATTCTTAACTAGAAACTAACTGAGCTCTCCTGGATAGAAATAGGATCAATTGAGTATTTCTCCTTCCTGTGGGGGCTGACTGTAAAAGACATGATGTATCTTAATAGCGAAATCACACAATTAAGGCACTGAGTGTGTATGTGTTCCCACAGGAAAAAAAAAATCAAGCACATGCTTTCTTGTTTTTGTTTTTTCTTTTTTTTTTTTTTTAAATCAGCCCTCTCAGATTGATTGTTTTTTGGTTTTGATTATGTAATTAACTGCAATCAAATGTACTGATGGATTGTGGTCATTCAGCAAACCTTCTCTTAGACCAAATATCGTGCATACCTTTATAAAATGAAACAGTATGTTGACTCCTATTACAGCTAGCATATTGTCAGGACAAAAAATTCTTGATAATTAACATCTCTCTCTCCAACTTCTTCATTTAAAAAGCACAGTGACTTTAATGCTTTAATAGAAATAGCATGATTTTAAAACATAAGTCGAACAGTTCAGAAAATGCCTACAAAATCCACTGTTTAGGTGTAGTGGCCCTTAACTGTGGTGGACTGTGTGACAGACATTTCTCCATGTATATACGACAGAAAAATGGATGGAAGGAGAGATGGAGATATGGATGGATAGAAAAAAGTAGGAAGGAAAGAAACTCATGCCATATATGTGTTCTGGGTTGAAAAATTTTGTTTTTAAATATTTTCTAATTTTTAAATAGTTTTACACTTACAGAAAAGTCACAGAGATAGTACCAAGGGCGTAAGGGAACCCTCACAGTTTCTCCTATTGTTAATGTCTCACATTAGTATATTAAATACATTAGTCAGTTAAAACTACTGAATACATATTGATATACTATAATTAACTAAAGTCCACACTTAATTTGAATTTCTTTTCACCTGCTTTTCTTTTTCTGATCCAGGATTCTATCCAGGATACCACATCATATTAATCATTGTGTATCCTTGGACTTCCCTGGGCTGTGACAGTTTCTCAGACTTTCCTTGTGTTTGATGACCTTGACAGTTTTTAGGAGTACAAATCAGGGTACTTTGGAGACTGGCCCTCAATTTGTCTATGTTATTGCCATGATTATATTTGGGGTTATGGATTCGTGGGAGGAAGAGAACAGAGGTAAAGCATCATTCTCATCTTATCATATCAAGGGTGCATGCCATGAACACAACTTATCACCAATGCTGGGCTTGATTCCAGGGCTAAGGCAGTGTTTGTCAGGTTTCTCCACTCTTTGTTCCCCTTTCTATACTGTACTTATCGGATGGAAGTCACTGTTTGCAGCCTGGACTTAAGGGACAGGATGTTATGCTTTACCTACTTGAGGGGGACAGTGCATACATACATTACTTGGAATTCTTTTGTACAGATTTGCCTATTCTTATTTATGTATTTATTTATTTATTTACTCAATATATTTATTTGTGTCAGTATGGACACAAGGATATGTATTTTATTATTTTGGTTATAATCCAATACTGTTATTTATTTTGTTGCTCAAATTGTTTCAGCTTTGGCCATGAGGAGCTCTTTCGGTTGGCTTCCGAGTCCAGGTGACATATATCCTTTGTTTTGTTATTTGAGCATCTCCTTACTTTCTGGCACCATGGGACGCTGCAGGCTCAGCCCTGCCCCAGCTCTAGTATCAGCTACTTCTCCAGGGAGCCTTGTTTCCCTTTATTGTAGAATGGCATTTGGAATACAAGATCTGTGTGCTGGGTGTCCTTATTGCCCTATAGGGTAGCACTTCTTCTTGTTTTGCTTCTTCTAGACCCTCTCAGCTGGCAGAGCAAAGAAACATGTGTGTGTACTAACCAGTGTATATATGTGTATAGGGAAAATTCTCAAACCATGTTCTTCCTCTGTTCTCACATCACCACAACAATCACCAACAGAGATGAAGATGTCTGTGACCAAATGTGTGCGGGTTTCCCTCACACACCAAGCAGTGGACACCAGCTGGGTATCCTCCAATTCAGTTCTGACACTGTCTACACAGAGACAGCATCAGATCCCACAGGGTGAGGGCTCAGTCCCAACACTGCCCTAATCCTTCCCTTTGAGGTGCAAGTCTGGGGCCTCTAGAACATCTGACCAACTGGCTTCAAGTTGGGGTTCCCATGACCCCTTCTGGTTTTGACTAATTTGCTAGGCTGGCTCACAGAACTCAGGGAAACACGTATGTTTACCAGTTTATTACAAAGAATATTTTAAAGTATTTAAATAAACAGCTAGAGGAAGAGATACAAAGGGCGAGGTCTGGAAGGGCCCTGAATGTAGGAGGTTTTGTCCCCGTGGAGTTGGGGTGCACCACCCTCTCAGCACATGGATGAGTTCTTCACCTTTCTATTGGCCTCTAGGTGTTCAGCTCTCTGGAAGCTCCCCAAACCCTATCCTTTGGGGTTTTTAATGGAACCTTCATTATAGGCAAAATTGACAACCACGTAGAAAGGTGATTGGACAAAAAGGGTGTGATCTCATATGTGAGTTCATACACTGATGAGGAAAGCCAGGGAGGCCAGACCTGTTCAGATTCTTCTTGGTCTCTCTGTGCAGCATTCCTTCCTCCAGAGTATGGGGCAGGAGCCTCTCTGGAAGCAGGGCCTTTTGATCCACAACCAGATTAGAGTCCTGCCTTCAGCAGGCAAGAGGAGGACAGGAAAAGGGGAGAGAGAGAGAGATTCAGTTTTCTGAGGCCTGAAGTGCCCCAAGATTATAACAAAAGACTGTAACAAGTGTAACAAGGGCTATGGGAGTTATGAGCCAGGAACTTCGGACAAAAGCCTATTTCATACATGTATGATGATTATATATATACACATACATAATATATATTATGACTATACATAATCATAGTATCACAATAAGCATATGTATAAATATTTCTATATATATCCAGCTGTATCTATATTCAGCTAAACATGAGTTCCCGCAGATGTCTCCAATTCTAATCCATTACCACATGTTTTGTAGATAATACAACTATGGAGAAGTATAAAGAGAATCTGATTTTCCCCTTTTCTACGTAACTCACTTTTCCTATCAATTTTCTTATCTTGAAATTTAGCAACTCCAGCAGACCCTATATTGGAGTGAATTTGTGTACATATGGACTTATGTATTTTTTTCTTGCATCTCCTGGGCCCTTTCAGCCTGCAGACTCAAGATTTTGTTTACATCTACAAAGTTTATTTAAAAAATCATATTCTTAAATATGTTTGGGGTTCTATTTATTCAGTTCTGTACTTTAGAAATACTAAGTGTGTGACTGTTGAAGTTCCTTTATCTATCTTCCATAACTATCACATTCTCTAGAATCAATTTTTATGTCCTTTGTTTTTTTCTGTCTCATGGTATGATTTTTCTTAAGCTCGTTTTTTCTTTCTTTCTTCCTAATCTTTCTTTCTTCCATTCCTCCCTTCCTTCCTGCATCTCTTCTAAAGTATAATTATTTTTTCTTTTATTTCTTTTTGAGTTATCCAGGTCTTTTTATTTTCTTCTCTCTTATGTTCTTTAAATTCTCACATCTGTTCTTTGAGTTCTCTTTTTAGAGAAATCATGCTATCTAACATTTCTTTGAAACTCTACAGGGCTTAATTAATTCCTATGTCTTTGAGCGCATTTTGCTGTTTTCCTCTCTCACTCCTTTTTTTGGTGGTATCTATGTATATGTGCCATGTTATTCATTTAAAATCGTTGCTTATATTGTCAACCAGGGTCAAAAAATAGTGTGAGGAGGGGTAAGAGAGTGAACTAGGGCAGCTGTCTTCTTTGTCTCAGATTATTTCAGTAGTATCTTATTTCTTTTGGAAGCATGTCTTTTTTTAATTTTTAAATGTTACCATTCAAGAGGCAATGTGGCACCCCAAGCTTTAAGACCCAGGCTCTGTGTGCTGGTATCCGAAGAGCAGGTCTTCAAATGTGGATTCACGTGATCTCCCCAGACAAGGAGGCTTGATGTGGGTGAGGGTGGCACATCAGCAAAGCTCTCCTTCAGCCCCACGGCCCGGCGTCCTGTGGTTCCTAAACTGTCTCGAGGGATTCCCTGCTTCTCTGCTGGGCCATCTACATCCTTAGGCATGACCACGCTAAAAGATTTTTTTAAGATAAACTTTTCTACAATATAACAATTCCTTGCAAGGAAATGTTTCCAGCTAAAGATCTTAGAAGGTAGGTTGAATTTTCACTGTTCTCCCTCACTTTGCTTTCACAATATTTCAAGTATGCTTTCAGTTTGTGGCCTGGACTTAAGACCATTTCGTTATTTTATTGAAGATAGAGGGTTTTTTGTTTTGTTTTGGTTTTGGTTTGCAGCGGTGGGAAGATCTTTTTGTTTCTGTCCTATTATTGTTAGATTTTTGAGTCAGTTTTGAGGAGAATGGTGTACTAAGAACGCTTATTCAATTATGTTTAACTGGAACACATAATTATTTCTTAAGTATTTCTTTTCCAAATTGATGAAGCTAGATATTTCAAACACTGGTTGAATGTGCATTTATCAAAAAAAATTGTCAATGTGCTTAAAAGTTTTCAGGGAATAACATCAGAACTCCTCAGCCTAATTTTCAAGGCCTAGTTTGCTTCTCAAACAACACACCCACCACTCCCTCTCTGCAGCCCTCCACTCCTGAAAGCCTGATCTTTACTTCCTTTAATAAGCCAATTCATTCCAGCTCCTGTACTCTTGCTTACATAATGCCAGGTGATCTAATATATATGACCAGCCCTGAAATAAGTATGGTGATTTAGCTTGTTAGTTATTTTTTACATTCACTTGATGAAAGTGGATTAAGTGAGGGGAAAAGCCTATTGTAAAGGTTACCACAAAATTGTTTCTATTTGGCTGCAAACTCTGGGATTCCTGCATTGAAAACTTTGATGATCATCAAACCAGAGATAGGTAGGGCAGCATCCTCCCCGCTTTGCAAATGGAAATTGAATCCCTGGATTTTTAATATTCCTGCCGGACTGTTAATGTACAGGGAACTCTCATGGATAGTCTACATTCTTTATAAATTAATAAACCCTCTATTGAGGATACTTTCATCTTTGTAGATGCAGCCCACAGAATACAATAAATCGTTTCACTTTTATTTGGTAATGTGATTTTTATTGAGCAATGAATCCTTTGTATATAAGTCAGAAGTTTATTGAATAAAAAGGAAATGTCTTAATAGTAAGCACTTGTATCATCATGGCATAAATAAGCTTTGAAGTTTCACATTAAGAACTTTGTTCTACTATATTTAGTGGTACTGAAAAGTAGTGGAGGGATCTACAAAGCAGACAAGCTTTAGGAAAACATTTTAAGGTTTTTGCAGAATAATTTAAATTTAATTTTAAAAGAAGATGGAATTCTTTGGGATTTTTTACTTGGGGTGAATAAAAGCAAGCATGCAAGTGCTAGGTCAAAAGACATGGCATTTACTGTTGGAGAGTAAGTACTATTGCTTTACAGGCCATTCAAAGATAAGCCTTGTGGCTAAACATTGCATAAACTTGACCTTGGCTCACAGATTTTAGCTTCCATACTTTACTCTTCCCATCTCAAAAGAATAACCAGTCGTGATTACCATGACCGCACTGTTAGGAATGACTAACACCATTTTTCCCGTTTATTTACCCTATTGGGTCATATTATCTTAAGGAACACTGGATAACTGTGTGTGATGCCGGTGACTCCTTGGCCATCAGTGGAACACAGTCAGTCTGAACTTGCATGCATGCCACATGAATGATCCAGATCGCCATATGCAGCTGTGACGCTGGTCAAAGCAGCATGTCATGTTTCTAATAAGCCTGTATGTTATTATAATACAGAACATACAGTCATAATACAGAACAGGTCACTTACCTTAGTTTGCACATGCTGCCCTTTGTAGTCAGCTCCTTCCCTTATTCCCAACCTTTGATAACCACTGTTCTTCATCCCTATAGTTTTGTCTTCTCCAGAATGTCATCTAAAAGGACTCATACGGTATGCAGCCTTTGGGGTCTGGTTTATTTCAATGAGCAAATATGCATTTGAGATTCCTCCATGTTGTTGGATAAAATCACTTAATATTCATATTCATATACCACACCTGCATAGTTTAGATTCTGCTCTGGTGAATCCCTTGAATACTGTTATTAGCTTTTTTATTGCAGTATAACAAATTACCATAAACTTACAGGCTTAAAACAATTCCCATTATAACCTCAAATTTTCCATGGGTCTGGAATCCATCCTCTGTCTAAGGTCTCACCAAGTTGCGACCAATGTTGTCCAGGGCTACAATCTCACCTGAGGCTCATGGTCCTCTTCTAAGCTCATTGGCTGTTGGCAGAATTCCGCTGTAGGACCAAGGCCTCTGTTGTCTTGCTGGCTGTCAGCTGAGCATCTCTCTCAGCTCCTCAGCTATCTCAGGCTGCTGCTTCCTGCCATGTGGCCCACTCTACAATATAGCTATTTGCTTCTCCGAGGCTAGCAAAAGTATGTCTCTCTTGCTTCAAATCTCTCCCTGCCCCAAATGCTTGGACCCTACCCTCTTTTTAAAAGCTTGCCTGATTAGACTGGATCCACCCAGGAAAATATTCCTCTTTGTTAATTCAAAGTCAACTGGGTAGGAACCTTAATGACATCTACAAAAGTCGCTTTACCTTTGCCACATAATGTAATCTAGTCACAGAAGTAAAGTCGTATCATATTCCCACACATTGCCCACACAACGGGGAGGGGATTATTCAGGGTTTGTACACTAGGATGCACAGATCTGGGGGACTATCTTAAACATTCTACGTATCATAATATCCTACTCCTTCCTACCAATTTAAATGCTTCTCAAAATCTCTCTCACATCCCACTTCTTTACAAAGTCTTTCAATGCTCATTTTCGTAGCTAACAAAATTGAGTCTCAGAGAGTATATGACAATGACTCCACTGATTAACAGCAGAGCCAGTACCACAGAGTTATTTCACCTCTGTAGCCATTACTTTCTGCATAGCAAAGGTAGGAGTTTAATGTGAAAATTTCTCAGGTCTCCCTGGCTCTAACAGCTATAGATGCAAGTGGGATGGCTCTGCGGTGAGAAACTGGGCAGGTCACTATGGGGGAACAGAGCAGTTCAACTTTCATCTTATTCACATATTGTCATACCAAGTAAAATTTTGTGTGAACCAAAATTTCAAGAGCTTCAGAAAAGGAGCTTGAACACCAAGGATTTAGCCTAGCCTCATCTTATGGATTAGAAATATAAGGACCTTTCTTACTCAACATGTCCAATTCTGGGAAGTGAGATGAAAGCCTTAATTGAGGGGTTGATTTGAGTCAGTACAGAGAACAATGGGCTTCTCACAAAAGTAAAGCACACATTACGTGTGAAGATGTCCGTGTCTTAATTCTTAGAATTTGTAAGTGTTGTTTTATATGCTAAAAGGTGCTTGGCAAAAGTGATTCAGTGAAGGATCTTCAAATGGGGAGATTACCTTGGGTTATCCTGGGGGGTTCTATGTAATCACAGGAGGCCCTAGAAGAGGGAGGCAGAAGATCAGAGAAAAAGAAGGCAATATGAAGAGGAGCAGAGAGAGATTTGAAGATGCTATACTCCTGACTTGGGACATGGAGAAAGGGGCCATAAGCCAGGGAATGTAAGGAATGCAGCTCTAGAAACTGGAAAAGACAAGGAAAATATTCTCTCCTGGAGCCTCCAGGAACCAGCCTTTCACTTTGCCTTTAGAGCAGTGAAACTGATTTTAGATTTCTAACCTCCTGCAAGAGAATAAACTTGTCTTGTTTCGAGCTGCTAAACTTGTAATAATCTGTTTCGGCAATAGGACACTGATATGTTAGGCATTAGGAGAGAAGTGTATGTCCAGGGGATATGTTAAAATAGAACAGGGATTCTCAAACTTTTTTGACTGCAACTTTTGATAAGGAATACATTTTACATCAATATCCAATATTGTCAGAGGCGTGTGAACCAGAGCAACTCCATCTTAAACAGGAGCTGGGTAAAATGAGGCTGAATCCTACTGGGCTGCATTCCCAGACGGTGAAGGCATTCTAAGTCACAGGATGAGATAGGAGGTCAGCACAAAATACAGGTCATAAAGACCTTGATGATAAAACAGGTTGCAATTGTTAGATATGAGTTCTAAATTTCTTTTCAAAGAATCAATATGTCAGTATGTTCAATTTTTTGCCTTCTACTTTTAAACTTAACTTCCTCGTAAAGCAACCTTTTTCGATCACCTGCCCCATCCTGACTAATTCCGATTACCTACTCCACCCTGACTCATTCCGATTACCTGACGCACCCTGACTCATTCCGATTACCTGCTCCACCCTGATTCATTCCGATTACCGGCTCCACCCTGACTCATTCCTGTTACCTGATGCACCCTGACTAATTCCAATTACCTACTCCACCCTGACTCATTCCGATTACCTGACGCACCCTGACTCATTCCGATTACCTGCTCCACCCTGATTCATTCCAATTACCGGCTCCGCCGTAAGTCATTCCGATTACCTGATGCACCCTGACTCATTCCAATTACTTGCTCTGTCATAACCATTTTTCCCGCCACACCACTCACCCCGTCGATCTCTTTAAATTAGCCAATCAGAATTAGTTTAGCCTGCACGGTCTAACCCTGGCCAATAGCAGAAAGACACAACAACGGGGGCCACGTGCGTCAGGGATAAGAACCCCTTCCCCTCCCTTGTCCAAGTGTGCGCTCATCGTTGCTCCATCTGTAAGGGTGCACCCTTCTATAGAAGTACCTTGCCTTGCTGAGAATTAAAAACAAACATTTATTTTCGAGTACTATTTCTTTTGTGGCACTGAAACTTTATAACACAGTAAAAGAGCCAGCCAAAACCCCCCAAAACCAAAATGGCAACGAGAGTGACTTCTGCTCTTCCTCACTGCTACATTCCCACCAGCACCATGACAGTTTACAAATGCCATGGCAACATCAGGAAGTTACCCTATATGGTTTAAAAAGGGGAGGCATGAATAATCCACCCCAAATAACCATAAAAATGGACAACCAGCAGCTCCCGGGGCTGCTTTGTCTATAGAGTAGCCATTCTTTTATTCCTTTACTTTCTTAATAAACTTTCTTTCACTTTGCACCACGGACTAGCCCTGAATTCATTCTTGCACGAGATCCAAGAACCCTCTCTTGGGGTCTGGATCGGGACTCCTTTCTGGTAACAATATGACTAAACATACAGCTGTGCACACACACAGAATAAAAAATCTTGCAAATCAGTATTATTCCACAAAATGTATTGATATTTTCTGTATTATTTTATTCTATTCCATTATTTCATTTTTTAAAAAATATTGGTTAGGACCCACTAAATAGATTGCATAATCCCTTAATCAGTATCTAACACTGGCATTCAAGGAAGAGAGTAGACTCTGAGAAGTGTAGACTGGGATCCAACTGAAAGGGGCTTTAAATGTCAGCCTCTTGACAGCATATGATAAATGCCTCTTAGTAGTTCATAGTTGGTGCCACTGCCATCAGGGCCCTAACAAAGTACAGACTATATACCAAGTGTTTCCCTAGAACTCTGAATTCTCTCTGTCAGTAGTTCTCAACTGAGGTTGGCTTTGCAACCCAGACTCATTCCAATTACCTGCTGCACCCTGACTCATTCCCAATTACCTGCTCCACCCTGATTCATTCCGATTACCTGCTCCACCCTGACTCATTCCGATTACCTGCTCCACCCTGACTCATTCCGATTACCTGCTCCACCCTGACTCATTCCGATTACCTGATGCACCCTGACTCATTCCGATTACCTGCTCCACCCTGACTCATTCCGATTACCTGATGCACCCTGACTCATTCCGATTACCTGATGCACCCTGACTCATTCCGATTACCTGCTCCACCCTGACTCATTCCGATTACCTGCTCCACCCTGACTCATTCCGATTACCTGATGCACCCTGACTCATAGGTGTCATAATAATGTTGGGCAGTGTCTGGAGATATTTTTGCTGTTACGACTTGGAGGGGGGGCTGTTGTTGGCATCTAGTGGGTAGAAACCAGGGATGCTGCTGCTAATCATCCTGCAATGCACAGGACACCCCCCCAACAACGATGAATTATCCAGCCCAAAATGTAAGTGCAGAGGTTGAAAGATCCTGCTCTGGCTGGATCTTCTCTCAGTCAGTTGTGTCCAGCAGTTCAATCTCTTTTGAAATCCTTCCCCAGCTGTGTCCTCCCTGTGCTCCAAAACTATGCCTCTCCTACCTGGTGTAAAACATCACAAGCTCTTATGAATTAGGCTTTTGATAAGTGATGGCTGCATTAAAAAGAGTGTATTATATAGTGAATCTGAAAGTGGTGATTGTGGATATGTGCAAAAGATCATCTTGGCACACGGTGGCCTATTCCAGGTTGCCACTGCCAGACTACTAAACAAGCAAATCTGCAAATTGTTTCAAATCTCCAGAACTACAGGGTAGCTAATTTCTGTCATCTAAACATGCATTTTAGTTTGGTAGATTTTACTGCAATCACATTTAAAGTACATTTAAAGATCATTTGAACAGGGCATAGGTAGTACTGGTCCAGTGAAAACTGAAAAGATAATGACTTCCACATTATAAAGCTGTTTAGAAGCTCTTTTTGTGCAAAAAATAATTTTACCAGTGTCTCTAATCCTATGTGGTCCATTGTAGGGCACTAGAAAGCAGCTTAAAGGTAGAAGGAATAGTCAGTAACCAGCGTCTGTTGTTTCTACAAATAACTAGCATAAAATATACCACATGTATGGGAAATAATATCTAATTAAAGCCAACATGGGACAACTTTCTGGGAGGCCCAGGCCACATTCACAGGGCCAGCTCATTGGAGTGGGGGTAGGGATAGAGTGGTGGTGGCGGTTAGTGTCAAAGGATGGAATATGAAAATAATCTATTTTAGCCTCCATATTGGGGGGAGAGGTCTTTGAAAAACATGAATATGTATTGTTAATAATTCTAGAATAAAGGTTTTTTAGGTTTGTGTATAGTATCTCTTCTGGTTTCATTGGAACATGAAAAGTACCTATAAAAATAAACTCCAGGAAGTGGAAGGTAAACTACAAAGGGAGTTTTAAATGTAAAAATTAGAACCTCTGCCCCTTCAAACTAAAACAGCTTCACTGTGGAAAATACTCTGATCTTAATTTCTGTGCTGCAATATGCAGTCTCTCCCCAACCCTAAGAGAGACTGGCGTAGTGGTGAGGAAAGGTCTTAGCACACCAAAATTCGGGAGCTTGAGTAGTTAAGAACGGTATCAGAGAGAGAAGGTTCCAGATGAGCACGTTCCAAGGAACAAACACTTGAAAGTGAAAAACTATTTACTAACCAGTGACTTGTTCCTTCTGTATTTGTATGGTCTTACTGCTGAGGCAAAGGCATGTAAGTTAAAAAAAAAAAAAGCCACAATTTTATGAAATGCTGAACTTCTTTGTGTTTGGCACATGCTAAGCACTCTATATGGCATGTAATCATCACAATAGTTCTATGAGGTAAGTACCACTGGCATTCCTATTTACAGATGAGAAAACAGACTTACAGAGATTATTTGGTTTAATTAAAAGACCAAACTAGGTTTGGAAATCGTGTTTTGACTCTAGAAGCCATGTAATTAATCACCCTCGGATATGCAGGACATGGAATTCTTTCAAACACTGACAATGGTTTATTTTATGATGGGCTCAAAGTAAAGGGACTTGTTAAGGTGTGGATGGTTGAAACGTTGGATATCAGTGAGTTTCTTTTTATTTTCTTTTTATTTATTTATTTTTTTTGAGACGGAGTCTTGCAGTGTTGCCAGGCTGGAATGCAGTGGCGCGATCTCTGCTCACTGCAACCTCCACCTCCTGGGTTCAAGTGATTCCCCTGCCTCAGCCTCCTGAGTAGCTGGGACTACAGGCGCCCACCACCACGCCCAGCTAATTTTTTGCATTTTTTAGTAGAGACAGGGTTTCACCATGTTGGCCAGAATGGTCTCGATCTCCTGACCTCATGATCCACCTGCCTCGACCTCCCAAAGTGCTGGGATTACAGGCCTGAGACACCACACCCAGCCATCAGTAAGTTCCTTTTTATCTTTTTCCCAATCCTATTCATTTTACTAAGCAATCTATTATAGAAGCTAGTTATAACATAGAAATTATATTTCCCAAATCCTGTGATCTTACACAGGCAAGTTACCTAGTATATAATAGGATATATATATATATATATATATATATGCAGTGGGTAACTTGATAGGCTATATATATATATAGTGTGAGGAGGCAGAGTATGTTAAATGTTTTGGTTTTGGCATCTCACTGAGTGAGCTGTATTGTCAGTAGTAGCAGAGTCCTAATGAAATCTGTCTCCAAAATGGCTGTGATTTCCACTAGATGAGCCATTATAGCTACTATTTATGGTACTCTGAAAGACACTCTTTTGGTCAGACTTCAATGAGCTGTGGAGTAACGGTGGATGCAAACTCCTTTCTTTGCCTACTGGTCTCCTGATTTGAGGAGCCAGAAGGACTAGAAGGCAGCTGCAGACTAAAAGCTAATGTGACTCTCGTTCTGCTTGAAAGCAGCATTTCCTTTTTGGGAACCAAGACTTCTATACCCATAGATCCTAGACTTGTGAGGACCAGAAGCACAAATTTCCCAAGTGGATCACTGGGAGAAGTGGGGCCGCTCCTACTTTTACCTCTTGATGCCTCGACTTACGGAGTCTACCTACTGGAGACACAGCACCATATATTTGTTATAATTAGGGTATATGTTACATCCTATAGAATATGTCCCTCTTCACAAGGTATCATCTCCAAGCTGGTGTTCAGGTGTCCCTTTAAAAGGCCATTTCATTACTCTATCAATCTAGCAGCTTCTAGGTTTCGGGGCTTGTGACAAGACCAGTCAATCAGTCTCATTGATCTGTATTCACTGCTGTACCTCCTTTGTTGTAAAGTGAATTCCTTGGTCCTTTGTGAGGTTATGTAGGATCCTAGGTAGGTGGATCAAACCCTTTGTAGGTCCTTGGATAGTGTTGTTGGCTGAGGCCATGCAGCCAGGAAAGGAAAGTTCATATCCAGAATATGTATCAATTCCAGTCAGAATTAATTTGCTCCCTATTCAAGATGGAAGGCATCCAAAGTTACTTGCCACCAAGTGGCTGGTTTCCTCAAGCGAAGGTGCTGAATCAGGGGCTGAGCCTTGCTCTCTGTTACTGGTAGATGGGATATTTGACACAAGCAGTAGCTCAATCAGCCTTGGTGAGCAGAAGCCCCTGCTGTTAGGACCATGTGCAGCCTCCATCCCTGTCACTATGGCTTCTCTACTCAAGTTCCTATTGTGCCAACACTGCAGTGGCCAATAACAGAGGCAGAGTGACATTCTAGTGAGTCTTTCTGTCTATTTGATTGTGTAAGCACCTCTTTGTGATAGATGCTCTCTGTCAGGTAACATACGATTCAGACTTTTCAGATACCAAACAAAAAGAAAGATTGTATTTTCATGCTTATTCCCATAGATTCACCCACATGCCTCCTATCCAAACCTCCTTGTTCCTGATCTTCTGATCCATTAACTAACCAGCCAAGCCATTAGCTATTGCCTATGCTTCCATAAGTACTCTTACCTTGGGCCACTTTTACTTTCATACCCAGTGGATGCCCATGTGCACAACTCAAATGTTCTGCCCATTGGAAGCGTTTCTCCTCACCATTGTCTTACCCAGGAGCTGAGGGAAAGGCATTGGTCAACAGTGGAAAACGAAACTGGGGCCAGGACTTGTGCAGCTAACGTGTGCACTCTGGCCCCATTCTTTCCCATGTACACCACTTCCATCTTAGCAGAGATCTTTGCTGGGTCTGCCTAGCCTTATGATTTTGTGGGCTGGACAGATCTCAGGTCAGTTCTGGAAGCATGATCACTTGTGTCAACCAGGGCGCAGTAGCACCCAAGGAATTGTTTTTCAAATGGTCTATAATTTTCTACTATGGGGGTCATGGCTTGGTTGCAGAATTCTAGGGGGCCTATGTTGTTATTCTCCAACTGGAACATGCCCAGAAACACCACATGACACCCTTTCCCATCACTGACAGCTCTAATATCATTGGGTTTGTTAGGTAGTATGGTCCAAGAGGAAGAATCATTTGCCTCATAGCCTGGACCTACTGCAGAGCCCTTTTTTGTTCTGAGACTCATTCGGAGCTGGATGCTATTTGTGTAAATGGGTTGGAATAGTGTTCTCTGTATGACATATGCTGCCTCCAGAATCTGAAGGGGCCTACCAACCACTGTGCTTACTTCTGAGTGGGGAAGTTATGAAATACAATATTCCTTTGACAGGGATATCATAGACCTTTGGATCCCAGACCCCTGAATCTTTATAGGGTTTCTCTTTCAACCACTGTGGGCATGTATCTTACCGAGGCCTTTGATATGTTTGTAATTTCTTGTTCATGCAGTCCAAATCACACAATTTTATCAATCTGTGGACTAATGTGATATAATGTCCAGAGGATCCAGATCCTTTGACTATATTATGACGACGGGCAGATGAGTTAACATTTATAGTTGACAGTTGTGCATCCAAAGTGAATGTGAACTTTCTAGACTTCCCTCCTATAAGGGATGGGAAAGAAGGCATTTCCCAGATCAATGGCCACATACCAACTATCTGAGGGCCTTATTAATCTGCCCTAACAAAGATAATACATCTGCCACAGCAGGTATA
Source organism: Homo sapiens (assembly GCF_000001405.40). Taxonomy (NCBI): domain Eukaryota; kingdom Metazoa; phylum Chordata; class Mammalia; order Primates; family Hominidae; genus Homo; species Homo sapiens. Next base: position 115,924,041 of record NC_000005.10, on the reverse strand, counting down.
ATTGGCCAATTTGCAGTAGTCCACTGTCATCCTCAAGGATCCATCTGTAGGGAGCAGACTGGTCAATTAAGTGGGACATGATGGAGACCCATTCCTGAATCCTTTTAGGTCTTTAAACATGGCATTAATCTCTGCCCTTGCCCCCAAGTTACAATATTGTCATTTACTTATTATCCTGGCTAAGAGTGGTGTAGGGGCAGTTTCAAAGATTCCACTTAGTATTCCTTTCTACTGTATCTTTTATCCCACAGACTGGGGAACCACTGTAAGGTTTTACCAAACACTCATACCAGTTAGATATATTCGAGGATAAGGAAAACATAATAACCATGAGGTGGACCTGTGGACCCAGTGGACTCAATATAAACTAGACCTGGGCCAGGACTAAATGTATTACCCAGCCCTCCTATGTTCCCAGTGTAATAGGGGAAGGGGCGATGATGATGGTTGGTCCCTGGGAATCAATGGCAACTTGGAAACTGTGCCCAATAATTCCCAGTACATTGGGTTTTCCATTACCCAGTGCACAGTTACCCAAGAAAGTCCCTTCAGGGGAAGCACTGGGAAAATAATTAGCTTATGCATTTGTGGTGGTATTGCAGGGTGCTTCCTCCTGGAGATTTGGCGTTTCTGTTAATCAATGAGTTCTGGATCTGAGAACTGGCTCAGAACCAGACACTAGTAAAGGGTTCATGACTTTTTATTCCAGCAGCTGCTCTCAGCCTCCTGATGATCCATTCTTGATTTCTTTTGGTTGTACAGATTAGGCAATGTCTTTACTGGCTGCCCATCCATCTTACATCTACTGAAGCCATGTTCCATTAAACATGTCTATAGCAAACTGCAGACCGTAACACTTGGCTGACACCTTGCAATTCATTAAGATAACTTATCCACTTTTCTCCCGGCAGTGAAGTGCACGACCTAACCGCTGTTATTTCAGGACCCCATCATCCCTATTATTATCAGAGCACCCAGTTCTGTAACATTTCCTACCCTCAGCCCTGGCCTTCAGAGGACAGCCACTTCTGAGCTTCTGAATGATGCTGATGCCCCTTTAAACAGCACATTCTTTATTGCTTTGGTAAACAGTCACCTCTGGGCCTTCCTGCCTTACACAGTATGTTCACTCTAGCACACATACTTCTCTGAGCCTTTTGATCTCTTAGCTGCCTTAGTAGTTCTGGTTATACTTCACTTAGCTAGGCCTAAGTAAGTGGCTCAGGCTTTCTCCAAGCTTCCCAAAATTACCCTAGCCACGGGGTAGCACTGTCTTGCCAGATTATTATATCTTTTATCATTGGAAAGTGCTTAAATAACCTCTCATTCAACTTTATGTTCCTTCCCCCTTGACCCAGAACCCTCAGGATCCAGGCCCACCTGTACTCTTTCAGCTCCTCCAGGTTTGTTTTGGCAAAGTTCTACAGCCAAACTTAAGCCCTGGGGCTGCTCCTCAGCCTTTCCTGTCCTCCAGCTGCAGGAGATGAGAGTTTTCATATGCTGCCAAGGAGGCCCTCTGGCCTTCATAAATAGCCTTGCTTGGTGATTAATTACTGTCAGCATTTCTCTATACAGTGATTGCCCAGAAAAGCCATCCAATCCCATGCTCTTTATAATTACTACTTCCCTTGGACTTCTCAAATGCCTGAAACATTGTTCGTATCAGGGCATTCCCAGTATCCCATCCCAGTTCACCACCAGTGAAAGTTTCCACAATTACATTGTTATAGCATGCAATGCTATAACTTTTACTGCCACCAGTAATAGGGTCCTTCATCATTGCCAGCCTGCCAATGCTGATCCAGCTCCAAAATGTCATTTTAGAATCTGCTTCTGGCTGGGTGTGGTGGCTCATGCCTGTAATCCCAGCACTTTGGGAGGCCGAGGTGGGTGAATCACCTGAGGTCGGGAATTCGAGACCAGCCTGACCAACATGGCGAAACCCTGCCTCTACTAAAAATACAAAATTAGCCAGGCGTGGTGGCGCATGCCTGTAATCCCAGCTACTCGGGAAGCTGAGGCAGGAGAATCACTTGAACCTGGAGGTGGAGGTTGCAGTGAGCCAAGATCACGCCATTGCACTCCAGCCTGGGCAACAAGAGCAAAACTGTCTCAAAAAAAAAAAAAAAAAAAAAAAAAAGGCTGCTTCTTCAGACCATTCTTGGCAATAACTGCTTCGATGAATTCCCTGAGAAACAGACTGAGGTGGATTTATGTGCCCATTTACTATAGTTTGCCACTGGGATCAAAGCCTGTGAGAGTCTGAAGGAGGTAGGATAGGGCAGAGGAGGAGGTAAATTGCAGTGCAGTCACAATGAAGGCCTCAGCTGATCCCATAGGTAGCACTGGAGCTGATGGAATGGCCTTTCAGAGCTATTGTGCCTTAGCTAAAGGGGCTAAGCTTTTTGCACTTGGATGCAGGACGTCCTTGTGAGGAGCCATGGCTTTGGGTGACGCAGATCTCTACAGCTGGTGGCAGTTCTCAAAGAGTAACTCAACTGAGTGGTCACTGCCAGCAGCTGAAGAAACGAGTGCCGCAGTCCTGACAGATGCACATAAGAGCATCCACTACAGGTGCCAACATACTTTCTCCTTAGCTTACCCCACAATCCACATACCCAGCCTCGGAAGAAAAAAATATCACCAACACTATGATTACTGAAAACAATTTAATTTTCAGGGGTGTGGACGGCAGGTCTTTAGTGGTGTATTGTCAAGTGTTTCAGAGTGATGTGAAATAGTTCCCCTCTGGATCATTATGCCACAACTCATTGCATAGTTCAATACATTTGCTCTGCTTTCAGTTTTTAGAGGGTACATTTTCAAAATTTAAATGTATTTTACTAAGTATGTAAAATATTTACATGGTTCCAAAACAAGGTACATTCAGACAAAGCTAGATTCTATCCCCAACCTGTGTCCTGTTTCTTTCCTCTGATACATTTAAAAAAGTATGTACGGTTGGCCAGGGATGGTGGCTTATACCTGTAATCCCAGCACTTTTGGAGGCTGAGGTGGGTAGATTGCTTTGAGCTTAGGAATTTGAGACCAGTCTGGGCAACAAGGCAAAACGCCATCTCTACAAAAAATACAAAAATTAGCCCGGCATGGTGGCATGTGCCTGAAGTCCCAGCTACTCAGGAGGCTGAGGTGGGAGGATTGCTTGAGCCTGGGAGGTAGAGGCTGCAGTGAGCTGAGATCATGCCACTGCACTCCAGCCTGAGTGACAGAGTGAGAACCTGTCTCCCTCCCCGCCAAAAAAGTATAGTTTATCTTTCCATTTAAAAAATCTACAAAACATACATACCCATTCTCTCTTTTTCTTAGATAACTGACAGCACACTATGATGGTTAATTTCATGTGTTAACTTAAATGAGCCATGGGGTATCCAGATATTTGGCCAAACATTTTTTCTGGGTGTTTCTGTTGAGGGTGTTTTCGGATGAGATTAAAACTTAAATTGGTGGACTGAGTAAAGCTGATTCCCCTCCCTAGTGTGGGTGAGCCTCACCCAATCAGTTAAAGGCCTGACTAGAACAAAAGGTCTGACCTTCCTGATCCTTCCCAGAGTGAGAGAGAATTCTTTCTTCCTCACTGCTTTTGAACTGGGGCACTGACATTTTCCTGGCTTTGGACACGAACTGAAATATTGGCTCTTCCTGAGTTTCAAGCATGCTGGCCTTTGACTGGAAATGCATCATCAGTGATTCTGGGTCTTCAGCTTGCTGACTCAACCTCGGACTTTGGGACTTGTCAACCTACTTAATCATGTGACCCAATTCCTTATATTTATAAATTATATATAATATGTATATGTATAATCTATAAAGAAGTATATATATTTCTACATATATCTCTTCTCTGGACAGCCCTAATATGCATTCCATATGTACTCTCCTTCCTCTTTGCTTTTTTAAGCTAACCCTATATTCTAGGAATAACTTCGTAGCAATATGAAGAGATATTTCTCGTTCCTTTTGGTAGCTCCATAGGACTCCGTAATACGGATGTAATCTAGCTTTTCCATCAGTCTCCTTCTGACAGACATTCAAGTCATTCCAGTTGTTTGCTATTGCAAGTGCGGCAGTTACTACAATTTATTCAACTATTACCATACTGGTGGGCATTTAATACATCTCCAGGTTTTTTTTTAATTTACAAAAATATTTGATATAATAAATACCTTTCTATACAAATGAACCAAGAAGTGCTATATAGAGTTCCCAAATGAAGTCATGGGGTATGTGTGATACGTGTATTTTTAATTTTTTTAAATTTCCGCAGAACTCGACTTTTTTTAAAAAAGTAGTAGTACATTACATTCCCACTATCAAAATATGAGAGTTCACATTATCCCATTATCTTTTCGAGTACTGGATGTTGTCATCTCTTCTAGTTTTTGTCAATATGATAGGTGAAAATAAAATCTAATTGTTCATTTGCATTCCTTGACTACTAGTGAGGTTAAGTATCTCTACATATTTATGGGCCACTGAGATTTAGTTTTCTATGACTTGTCTATTTCTATCCTTAGCATATTATTAGATTGTCTTTTTCTAATTTGTGAGCTCTTGGTATATCCGAAATATCAACCTTCTATTTCAAATTATACTAATTAGTATGCGGGCCAACAAAAAATATCTTAAACCTTGCCATATACTACAGCAAGATAAAGCTCGCTCTTTTTGGGCATTCTACATATGCTTAAAAGAACTTCTAAAAGCTACAACATCTGGTTCATGTTTATCCTGACATTCTATAAGCCTAGCTGTCTTAAAATACAAATTTCTGAAAGGAAGAGCCTCCCTCTTACCTCAATTTTATTTCATCAAACATTAAAGTTATTTTCAAGTAAAAAGCTACTTCCACTAACATAAAGATTGAAATTACAGTTGCCCCTTGAACATGGGTTTGCATTGCACAGATGCACTTATACATGAGTTTTCTTCCACCTCTGCCACCCCTGAGACAGCAAGACTCCTCTCCTCCTCAGCCTGTTCAATATAAAGACAACAAGGATGGAGACCTTTACGATGATCCACTTCCACTTAATGTGCAGTGTAGGGGGTCAATGCCCCTAATGCCCATGTTGTTCAAAGGTCGACTATCAATAAACTTACAAAATAATCAAGATAAATAATAATGTAACCCTACATCATATTTCTCAAATTTACTAAAATGTGTTTATTTTATAAGTTTAATTTTAATTAATTTATTTTTTAAGACAGAGTCTTGCTCAGTTGCCCAGGCTGGAGTATAGTAGCACGATCTTGGCTCACTGCAACCTCCGCCTCCTGGGTTCATGAAATTCTCCTGCTTCAGCCTCTCAAGTAGTTGGGATTACAGACGTGCGCCACCACACTTGGCTAATTTTTTGTATTTTTGCTAGAGATGGGGTTTCACCACGTTGCCCAGGCTTGTCTCAAATTCCTGACCTCAAGTGATCTGCCCACCTTGGCCTCCCAAAGTGCTGAAATTACAAGCGTGAGCCACCACACCTGGCCATGTTCTTTTTTAAAGAGCCACCTTTCCTTAAATTCTTCATTTTCCTGTTTCAATCTAGGCTAATTGTCCGTTAGGTCTGCCATAAAGCTATGGTTCTAAGATTCACCAACATCTTGTGACTTTCCTTCATCTTTCTCTTGTGCCGTATCTATTGGTTACTGGATCTCCTGATTTTTAAAAATAATGTATTCCTTTACTTTGGTGGTGCCAATCTTTCAGTAGCTTTCTGAGAAAGAGAGTATGAGAAATGGATTTTTTGAGACTTTGCATGTATGAAAACATACTCATTATAACTACATATATACCTGAAAATTTGTCTGGCACACAATTTTGGGTTTAAAATTTCTCCTCAGAATTTTGAAGTCATTTCTTTCTCCTTGTCTTTTGGCTTCAAATGTTGATTCCTGATCCTCTGTGACTTGCTTTTTCCCTCCATATCCACAGATTTTAGAATCTTTTAGAATCACAGTGATGTCCCTTGGAGCTATGGTCTGGATGTGTGTGCCCCTCAAAATCTGTATGCTGAATCCTAATCTCCAATGCAATAGTACTAAGAAGGGGAATGTTTAGGATGTAATTAGGTCATAAGATGGGAACCCTCATGAATGAGATTACTGCCCTTATAAAAGAGGCCTGAGGGAGCTCATGTGCCCCTTCCCCATGTGAGAATGCAACAATAAGGTGCCTTCTATGAGAAATGGGCCTCACCAGGCACTGCTGGTGCCTTGGTCTTGAATTTCCACCCTCCAGAACTGTAGAAATAAATTTCTGTTGTTTATAAGCTACCTAGTCTATGATATTTTGTTATAGCAGCCAAAATGGACTGCTAGACACTTGGTATGGTCCTTTTTTTCATTCATTGCTAGTCAGCCTAATGGGCCCCTCAATCTGAAAACTCATGTTCTTATGATCTAAGCCATCTTTAAAAAATTTTTTCAGGGGGAAATTTTCTTCTTCCCTGTATTTTCTGTGTTCTCCCCATCCCTCCCGCTGAATTTCTACCAGTCAGATATGGAATTACCTGAAGTGATCCTTTAATTTTACCTTTTATATTCCAACCATTTGTCTTTTTATTCTACTTTTTGGAAATCCTCTAACTTTATCTTCCAATCTTTCCATTAAATATTCAATTTTATAATATTTTATATTATATCCGAAAACTTCATTTGGTTCCCCATATGTTCCTTTTTTGCTCTTATTCTTTATCTTTTATTTCCCTGTGTGTTGCTTAGCCTGGGTTTCCTGGAAGCAGAGCCTGTGATAAACACTTATGCACAGAGAATTTTTGGAAAATGTACTCCCAGGAAGGTGTACAGGATATGAACTAAACAGAGAAGGCGGGGGGGATTTTTTTAAAAGCGACATATTAGGGAGTTGGTTACTGCTCCAGGCAACTAGTTTTCAATCCCATGGGACTTACTGAGAAAGACTTTTGAAATACTCTCAACTGTCTGCTAAGGTACAAAACAGAAGTATTTATTGCACTCACAGGAGTCAGAATGGTGTTAAATTTCCCTCATCTCCAAATTGTACATACATAAGTACCAAAAGGGTTCCTGCATTTCAGCTGGGGTGAAGAGAAGGTCCAAGGCAGAAAGCAGGAGGTTATAGCTTGGGCCAAAAACAAGGCAATATCCAGTTGTAGTTGAGCAAAGCTGGTCAAGACTATGAAGAATTAGTTACTACAGCAGTGGCCGAAGTGGTGGGCCAAGAAGATTCTGAAGAGGTGTCTAATATAGCAGGGGATAAGTGATGATAACTTTTAATTTTACATTGTTTTTCCTATTAGTTTATGTTGTTTGTTTTGGCCTCTACCTTTCATGTTAAAAGCTCTCCTCAAATGTTTGGTGATTTTTGCCTTTCTGCTCACGTGTGAGGCCCCTAAACATCTGACTGGAAGCTCTGCATGCATGGGAGAAGCTTTTCAACGAGGGGCTTTAGTGGAGGATGATACAGATGGTCCACATCAATGGGCAAGCTTAAAACATCATTAACTGTAGGTCTTTTCTCTTGGGCTAATCTCCCTAGGGAAGAATACGCTAGAATCTCCTGCTTGTGGACAGGGTAGAGTATAAGCCTGGCTACTAACAGTCTAGGGGCTGAGAGACAAAGTGGGCTGAAGTCCCACTGTTGAGAAGGTATTTAGGGTAATCTCCAGGCTCTTAGATCAGGGGTGAATGAGAGACAATTGCTAAGGTTTGTGATATGGTGTACGGGATCTGAGAGTCTATCTGCTTTGATTTATACGACAATTTGATAACTCATAATTCTATTCACAGTTCCATTAGTACCTCTACTTCCTAAAGTCTTTCGGGATTCCGTGGTGCAAATCCACATACTTTCATGATTATTCCACTGCTAACTTATATTCTAGCTTTATTCATAAGCTTTCCAGCTTCAAAAATTTTGTAGCTATTATCACCTGTCTGATCCTTTTTGTCCATTTGGGTCTATGTCTTTACTGTCAGTTTAGTGTGGTTTGAAAAAGCACAAATGTGAGTAAGTGTTTAATAATGTACATTTAACCAGAAGTTTATGCCTTGTTACTTTCCAAAATATCAAAAAGTTTAAAAGCTAATATCCCTTATTGTGTATTGCCCATGAACAAACATTGTGAGAGGTGGACAATAGGAACATTAAAGAGCTCACTCTCCCTCTTGCCCATTTTGCTGTTGGCTCCTTGCTGTTTCTCAAACATCTCAAGCACGCCCCTGCCTCTGGGCCCTGCCATCTGCTACTTGCTATGTGGATTTACTCTTGCTCCACAAGTTCCCATGATGCCTTCCTTACCTCCTTCAGGTTTTTGTTCAAATGTTACTTCATCAGAGATGCCTCCTCCTACCTATTCTATAAATCACAGCAACAGCCCAGCTCCTACCCCCAACCCTACTATTCCCTATCTTTTACCCAGGTTTACTTTTCTCCATAGCACTTCTCACCTCCTGACATATCATATATTTATTGTTTCACCCCACATGAATTTATGTTCCAACAGAATCTAGTTTGTTCCCTGCTCTATCCTAGTACCCAGAACAATGCCTGGCACATAGCTAATGCTAAGTATTTTCTGCAGGAAAGAAAAGAGAGAGGGAGGGGAGATGAGAGAATGGAAGGGGAGGAAGGATGGTTGGTTGTTGGGGCATTGTATTTGATAGAATATAATGGGAGATAAAACACTTTTGACTGTTTCTTGAAGTTAAAGTATGCTCTGGCCCAGAGGTTTCCCTAATTTTGGCATATCCTAACCAAACCAACATTTAACCTTCCCATAATTTGTTTCCCCAAAAACAACGAGAAAAGGAAAAGGGTGGGGTGGTGGTGAGGGGAGGGGGTACTGCTAGGCACTCTGTGTTACTGATATCGCTCCATAAAGACAGGGACGGCCGGGTGCGGTGGCTCACGCCTGTAATCCCAGCACTTTGGGAGGCTGAGGCAGGCGGATCACGAGGTCAGGAGATCCAGACCATCCTGGCTAACACGGTGAAACCCCGTCTCTACTAAAAATTAGCCAGGCGTGGTGGCGGGCGCCTGTAGTCCCAGCTACTCGGGAGGCTGAGGCAGGAGAATGGTGTGAACCCGGGAGGCACAGTTGCAGTGAGCCGAGATCGCGCACTGCACTCCAGCCTGGGCGACAGAGCGAGACTCCTTCTGGGAAAAAAAAAAAAAAAAAAAAAAAAAAAAGACAGGGACTTGGGAGCGCACAGTAAACACTTAATAAACACTGTCAAATGACTAAAGACCAGGGACCTCCTGAAATGCTCTACTCTGCATAACCTTTCTCTAGGACTTTTTCTTATCTCTGAGCTGATGGAAATCCCAATAATCAGATTAAATTTCCTGTTACCCTAACATGCTGGAGAGCTTAGAGACAGATTAATTTTATTTAGAAAAAAATAAAGTAACTTTTCTTATATCTTAGGGTTCTTGGAGTAAAATTCATACATGCTGCAAGTCTATGGAAGTATTTCAAAGAGAATATTTGAGGAAGGAGAACTAGAACTGTAAGGAAAACCTTAGTCTAACTGGAAAAGTAACCTCACTCACAGTTCATGGAAGACCAAATAAAATGTGGGCCAATTATAAGAAACTAGAATATGTGAGTGTTAGGACTTAAGAAAACATTAGTTTAACTTTGTTTTAGGATGAAACAGACAAGTAGAGTCCCAAGGGTTTTTGTATTCAAAATCAATTAGGTATTGGCTGAAATTATTTTTTACCATCTGGGCAAGAAGGAACAAGAGGCAAGGCTTAAAGCTATTTGTATAAAAAAGATTTTACATTTTCTCAATATACATTTTAGAAAGACTGTCGCCCCCCCACTCCAGATCTCATCTTGCGCAATATGCCTAAGATACACTGCTCTTGATTTGTGAAATAATTGAGTTTCCGAATAATTTACTGAGTTTCTGAATATTAAAAATATGAGTAAAAAATAAATCGACATTAACATCTGCTTAATAGTGATAAAATATACTTTTATTTACTTTGTTGAGTCAGAGGGTTGTAAAAAAAATTATTGCTAAAGTAGATATCAGGCAAACAGAAAGGTGCTTTAGAAGTCCAGTTACCTTGGAGTTTATTTAAACTAAGAGAAAAAAGTCATAATGTTTTCATGCAATACATACTTGGTTCTCCAAATAACAACTGTGTGACATATAGCAGAAGGAATTAAGGAATGCTGCACTTGTGATCCATACAAAACACCAACATTTTAGGTTGTACATAATTAGAGAAATATCTGAAACACTTTTTAAAACACTGTAGTAGCCAATACATAGAGGCATGCCGTAGGTGGGCACAGGAATGCAGTTTAGAAAAGAAAAAAAAAAATCACATAGGAACTACTCAATTTCTTTAAAATCACTGAGCAAGAACAGCAACATTGAACTTTCATACTGATTTTACACAACTTCTATACAGTACCTTGACTTAAATCCAAGAGCAAAAGTTAAGACTCTCCTCCTCTATTTTTGGTAAACAACTGCATGGTAAACTTAGATGACTCTTCCCCCTGGATTTTACCTGGGAGTGGCCTTTTTACATTTTTATTTAAAAGAGGGCAGGTTTGGCACTTTTATACTGATGTCACCAATGTTAATATTTCTTGGGATCTCAGGAAGATTCATATTCTTTACAGCTGATACAGCACGGGCTGGAGCTCCTGCTAAGCCAGCCTGTATACAGAAGCAAATAAAAGAAAAAGAAAATGTACAACTCAGGTGTAGCTCATCATAAAACACTTACAATGGAAGACAATGATAAAAGATTTTCATATAACAAGCTTAGGGACCAGATGGTAGTTTGAATTGGTATGGAATGGTTACTTTGAAATACTAATCTATAAAGAGAAAACAGTGACACATTAAAAAATACAGTGAACACATGCAATGATAACAATGTAAAGATTTAAATACAAATTAATGTGCACTACCACACAATATTCACATGATAAAACCTAAATCTTCACCTATATCTTGATTTAACTGACAGATAGCATGAAGCATGATTTACATTAGTTTCCTTATTAAATATCTCTTGCAACGATTGTGATAGATTTTCTTTTGCTTTTAAAATGGCATTTATTAGCAATATGTGCTGTGAAATAAAAATTGCAAGTAATAGATTGTGCTTGTTTAATTTCTTAGGGATAAACCCTTAAAACATTTTAAAACAATAAAATTAGTTTTTTAAATTGTGAGGGCTCTTTTAAACTTTTCTAATAAAGTTCTAGAACATTAAAAAAATAGGCTTTCAAGTAAAGCCTCAATCCAAAGAATATAGTTCTGCCTAAAGATGAAACTACACGAAGAGGATCATTCCAACCCTTTGATGCATTAGTAAAAATATAACGATTAAAAATGTTTTGTCATATAGCATAGATTCAGCAACATATATTCAGCTTACAGTTTACAAATTTAGAGAAAGAAAAGCATAAATGCAAGAGGTAGTAAATATAAATAAATGAATTCTAAAATTTCCAGTAAGTACCACTAGTGCATAATATTTGGCTTTCCTATTAGTAGGAACATTTGTAATTTGTGAAATAATTTTAAAAGAAAATATGCTTACAAATAAAAGAAAATGCATACATATCATTTTTCTCACCTACGTTAACAGCCTTCATATTTGAGGTTTAATTTATATACCAATTACATTTCATTACTTTTTATTCAGGCTATATAATAAAGCAAAGTCAACAAAGACATCTGAGTTCAGTGGCATCATTTTGTACAAAAATAGACAACAAAAACGAATCTTCCACTTTGATTAGATTATATATGGCAATGTCCATAAAATTAGAAACACTAGCTTTAAGGTCCCTTTTCATAATTTTAGTTTTCTTTTCTTATGTAATCCTACCTTTGTTAATTAAAATAAAAATAATAATAAAGCTGTTACCTGAGAAAAATCTTGACTGATACAAAATAGGCCAGTGTAAACTATTTGCTAAATAAAGGATACAAACATTGTTAAGCAATGAAATAAAAGCCATGGATTATCAATTCAGAATTGGAAATAATAGAAAAATTAGTAGAATAGTATTAATAATAAGTATATTCTACACAGGCAATGATAAGAGTGATACAAATGAATAACTCCATACCCAATTAAATAGTGAATAGGGCTGGAGAAGTTTTATAATTTAATGGATGTTAGTTATTTTTGATGTACAACTAAAAATGTGATTGACCTCTATACTTATACCTACCTGAAGCAATGAAGTTTTTGTTACCCCCCCTTCCTTCCTGCTCCCCCAAAGATGTTGGAGATACAACTAAATAATAATTAAGGCAGCATGTATAATATTTGAAAGGGTCTTTAATTTGATCGTTTCAAGTTAAAGGTCTAGCTACCAAAATTTAGAGTGGGTTGGGATCAAAGAAGAATCCAATTCAAAGAGGTTTACCATCTTTTGGCTTTCTTTTACCAGGAAGTATGTTGTCTACTAAGGAAGAAAAATTTACAAAATTGCAGACGTCCTGGAGGTAGTATCATTTTTTAGATAGGAGGATTTTGTAATTTTTCTAGTTAAAAGACCAATTTGCCACTATTTTTACTTAGGAATTTCCATAAAGAAGACAAATAATGAACTGACTATAGAAAAGTATTGACAAAATATTTGAGTATAAATATTTTAAAGGTGTGAATTATTAAGGGATTTTATTATTGTGAGAGAAATTGTGCGTGTGTGTGTGTGTGTTTATCTGTGTATTTTATTGGACACTATGGTTTACACTTATAAATAGTAAACATAATGTTTTCAGTATTAAATGTACATGAAGCTCTCTTTTCCATAATATCCTGTACCATGAAGAGCTAAACTAAAGCAAAAAATAAATTAAAAAAATTTAAAAATGCATCCTGTTAAATTTCATTAGATTGAGTTGTATCATTGTGACCAAAGATGGTGTCGACTGTTGGCTGCTAACAAGAATACATAAAGTCAATATAGCAATTGATTTAAATAGCATATTTGTGCTTAATATGTAAAACCAAAAGAAGTTTCTAAGTACAACAAACTACAATTCTTCTAAACATAAGCAGCAAGCCATAGACATGCAAAAGATAGGAACTATTCAGAACACGCAAATGAATTAGGAGGATCAAATTATTTCTCAAGCATGTTCAATACTTTTGTGTAGTATGCCATGAATTTAAATGGTAGGAAAATTTAAAGTTGTAATAGGTGCTTTAAGTTTTAATTAAACTAACGTTTTAAAAAGAAATCATATTATGCAAAATATAAAATGTTGAGAAAATATGATAAGGACAATTGATCAACAGATGTTTAAACCAGCTAGCAATGTTTATATATAAAAATTTAGGGCTAAAAAAAAAGACTTTATGTCACTCAGTCAACACCAGAATGGCTATAAAACAAATTTCATTTTCAGACATTCATGAAAGTGATGCCTGAAACATTTTTATTAAAACATAAAATGTAAAGTAACTTTCCATTAGGCAATCAGTTTGCTGACACAGAGGTATGAAGTAATTTTCATCTTGGTTAAGATTTTTTTTTTTTCCAGTAAGATACATTCAAAGCAACAAAATAACTTTTACTAACACTTAACTTTTCAACGCTAAAACTTACAGAAATTGTTTACCTGACTTGTTAGCAGTACAGTAGTCCCCCCTTACCCGCAATTTCACTTTCCATGGTTTCATTTACCCGTGGTTAACTGTGGTCTGAAAATAAGTGTGTGCAGTACAATATTGTGATAGAGAAAGGCCTCAATCACATAACTTTTTTTTTTTTTTTTTTTTTTAAGAGACAGGGTCTCACTCTGTCACCCACAGTGGAGTGAGTGATGCAATCATGGCTCACTGCAGCCTTGAACTCCTGGGCTCAAGTGATCTTCCCATCTGTCTCCTGAATAGTTAGAACTACAGGTGTGTCCCACCACGCCTAGCTAATGTAAAAAATATACATTTGTAGAGATGGGGTCTCACTGTGTTGCCCAGACTGGCTCAAACTCCTGGCCTCAAGTGAGTCTTCTGCCTTGGCCCCTCAAAGTGTTGGTATTATAGGCGTGAGCCAGTGCACCTGGCCTCACATGACTTTTATTGCATTATACTGTTATAACTGTTCTCTTTTATTATTAGTTGTTAATCTCTTACCGTGCCTATTTTATAAATTAAATTTTATCATATGTATATATGCATAGGAAAAAACATAGCATATATAAGGTTCAGTAGTATACACAGTTTCAGGCATCCACTGGGGGTTTTGGAATGTACCCAACACAGGTAAGGGGGGATTACTGTAAATACATTTTTAAACGTAAAAGTAAGATATTTCTGACAGTACAACATAGTTCTTAAAGATTTAAGATTATATAGTTGACACACAGCAGAAATAAAAAGAATGAAATTCTACTGGAGAAATAACTTGTTTCCATCTATGTTATACCTGAGCACCACCATGGCAGGTAAAACTGCAGCGACTACACCAATAAAAACAAATATATGAATCCAAAGCAGTTAAGAATATGAACTGGATGAAAGAATGAAGTACAGTATATAAAAGAATGATCATGTTTTCTCTCCCATGAGATTAAATAAATTAACAGAATTAAGAGAAAGAAAACAAAATGAAGTCTGCAAGTATACCAAAATGAGGCCAAACAGATAAAGACTTATACAGACATACTCTTGGAAATTTCAAGCACTTGAATCACAAAGATAGTAATGGATGGATATGATTTGTTTTTGATTTTGTTTTTAAATTGCCAGACCCAAAAATAAACAAAATATGTGCAAGCAAAACTGAAAAAGCAGCATTACTAAAATGTATTTCGAAGACCCTGAAAGCTCCCTTTTCCTCATGCAATAAACAATCAACTTTCTTGAAGGGAAAAGGAAAGTAATAGAGTAATCTTGTTATTTATTTCATCTAAGACATAAAATACCATCCTACCATCTTAAAATATCTTTTTTTTTTTCAAGTTTGAATACAGCATAATAAGATGGTAGTTGGAACAAACTGTACGTATTAAAACCTTTACCCACCCTTCCTGCTGGAAGTTGCTATATGCACATTCATAATTTTGACCTAACAGCAAAGTGAAAGAACACCAACATTAATAAACACAATATTAAATGGTTTCAGACTCAAAATCATTAACAAAATAATGGCAGATTTTGAAAGCATGTTTTTGAGCAAAAAAGAAAATGTCAATAGTTTAAAAAATCCCTCAACACGAGGTAGAATAACTTTTAATCTGGGGATATATAATAGGCTTTGTTTTAATGGCAGTGCTTTAATACTGCAATTATAAACATTTAGATAAGCTCATGACAATTCTCTAGACAGCAATAACTATGGTGTTTCACAGTTTTAACAAAATTAGAGTGCTCAAAAATTTAAAAAACCTTCCAAATTATTAGTCATTTTGTACGGATTATCTTCAATTATAGCTTTAATTTCAAACATAGGATTTGCCTGCATGAAAAAAAGAGAGCAGACTAATGACTTTCATGGATTTATCATTACTAGTTTTGACCATTACAAGTGACCTCAAGGGTTCTCACCATAATTTTGTAGAAGTACAAGACAAATGTGTATGTCAAGGTAGAGAGGCAGAACCAGCTCATGAGCTGACCTTCCACCATCAGTACCTTAGAGCCACTTTTCTTATTCTCTCCTCTTTGAAAACAGAAACTTGATTTTTTTTAAAAAAGGCCAATTAACAGTTCTAGCAATAAAGTTAACAGACCCAAGTGATTAATGGTTCTTTGCTGGAAAATAGCAGTAATAAATTACATACTGTAACACAGAAACTGGCAATAATTCTGACCAATGGTGAGAATGAGACTACTATGTATTCTCTATATGAGGGACAAAATAACATGGATAGAGGGACCAAAAACGGTACCCCAGTTTTGTGACATAGCCCACAATCTCAAAATAAGATACTATAAAGCCACCTGTATGTTGCTACTTCTTCTCAAACACATCGAGAGAGTAAGTAAAAATTTAGTGGCTAAAAGGCAATGCTTTGTGATATCACCACAATCATCAATTCTCAGTGATGTTTTTCTAATTAGTAAGTGCATAATCTAACTTCGTAAGTTTATACATTTTTTCCTCCATAGGACTCAATAAATTACTTTTATTTTGAAATTTTCAATCAGAGACCTTATAAACATTTCTTTTGCTTACATGGTTTCACACAAAATAGTTGCTCATCACCACGTACATGGAACTTTTAAAAAAGTAATTCACACAGTTAATTTATGGTGTGAAAAAACGTACAGGAAATATCAGAAGAAAAATTAGTTTTGTAAAACTAGAGGTCTATTAAAAATATTTCCAATATTTGCCAATACGCTTTGCAAAAATATTCAGGGTTTTTAATTCAATACTAAAACATTAATATATTTTTATTGATTCTGATTATGACATGTTTGGATGTCAGAAGGTTTGCTACAATGAAAACCCATTGTATTTTGGTGATTTGGTAATTTGGTAATTCCATTTTTCGAGCATTCTAGTTTGAAATACAGTCAAGTTTTATAAGATTTCTGATCTTATTTTCTGTTGGCCACTGTTAATATGCACCTGCAGGTCAAAACTGTAAAAGCAATTCTGTTAAGACTTTGGAACTGAAAACCATTTGAGGGGAAAAAGTACTATTTAACAGTCACTATTCTAAGCCTTCACTGCTTCCCATTTTGTATGCAAAACTCTGAAGGTTCAGCTTTTGGTTTTTAAATTCACAGCTTCCAAAACCCAGCAGGCAATTTTATGTTAGAATCCTAATTTAGAGATGGAAAAAAAACAAATCTGTGAGAGTTAAATTAAGATTGGTTCTGCTATATGATGCTCAAAATAAATTTTACGTTTTTATATACAAAGTAAATTGTCACTTCTGCAAATGCAATTTGTCAGTTAGATGACAAGTGTTTAAAAAAAATTTAAACTTTCCTTTTACAATGCAGGCAGACAAAACAGAACAAACATGACATCAATGATATACTAGTAAAATACACTAAGTCCAATAAAAGATGAAGAAACTACAAGGAGAAACTAGAATGGAAAATAGGCTACAGGGACTATATGGGTTTATTAACACAAAGAATTTTTGAGTCTGGCCTAAATAATTAATTGCCTTTGACATCATTTTGCTTTCCCTTTGTTATAGTACATATTTCTCAAAGTCAGCAATACCTTGTCTACCTGTCCTGTCTGGGAGACTGAAAGATAAAGGTCTGTAAGAGAGAAGAATGGAAAGAGCTAGAAAGATCAGGATGTTCGGAAAAAAAAGAGGACTGACTTTCAAAAAGTAGTGACTAAATTCAGACCCATTTATCCATCTTAAGAATAACATGAAATACATAAAAGCTAACAGATCTCCCCAACCCCACCCCTCTACCTCCACCCCCAGGGAGTCCTTTTATTCTTAGGCAGGTTCCTGAGTGCCTCTTATACTTCCCCCGAATCCCATCAACCTCCCAGCTTAAACCCTCCTCTCCCAATATTCCAATGTTATAGTAAACCATTTTTCTATCAAAATAGAATAGATGGAAATACATTCAGAGTATATCTTTGCTTCTCTCTTTCAGGATCTGGCAGAGCTTTGCTTCCACCTGTCTAGGTATTGGGAATTAAACTGGTTCACTTTTTTCCATTACCAGAAATGTACTAACTTTAGACCAACATAATAAAAGCTCTGATTTCTGACAAAGGCCCCTAGATAAATGCATGTTATGTTTAAAAAGCTGTGTCTCAATTATACCCAGACTGATTTTTAAATATAAATGATGTTCCTAAGATATTACTTAAATAATTTTTAAAAATATTGATAACCAGTTCTTTTCATCAATCATGACATTCTCGATTTTAAACAAGTCTTTTTTTGTGTGTTTGTTTTTGAGACGGAGTCTTACTCTGTCACGCAGGCTGGAGTGCAGTGGTGCAATATCAGCTCACTGCAACCTCCGCCTCCCGGAATCGGGCGATTCTTGCGCGTCAGGCTCCAGAGCAACTAGGATTACAGGCAAGTGCCACCATGCCTGGATAATTTTTTTGTATTTTTAGTAGAGACGGGATTTCACCATATTTGCCAGGCTGGTCTCAAACTCCTGACCTCAGGTGAGCAGATCACCTGAGTGATCCCAAAGTGCTGGGATTACAGGCGTGAGCCACTGCGCCCAGCCAAACAAGTCATTAAGTTTGTCCTTATATAATACATTTTAACTGAAATTTAGTAAGAAGATTAGGAAAAGTTTATACTTTGTTTCAAGTAATTTTGGATTATTCTGCAGAGTAATATCTCTGGTAAATTTAACCAATTGAAGTAACATGGACATGAAACATATGAAAGCTTTTGACATTCTAGCTGGAATAAAGCTAGAAGCCTTTCAAACATACTTAAAATATACAAAAGCTACGAAAAATTAGTCATCATAATTTTCAGTGCTGTTTTAAAAAGATGATCAGGGCTAAATGGCCTCACTTTGACTTGAAATCCGATTTCATAACTAAAATATTAGCAGACGTTACATGTATAGAAAATATATAATTTTGTAGTTTATCCCCAATCAGACTTAAAACATACTTTCTTGTAAAAGACAAAAGAAGAGAAACTAATTTGGTACCAGATAACAATTATGTATGATGCGAGATGATCAGGGAATGAATAATAGAAGTAATCACCAGTATTCTAAACTATTTTAAATAGCATTATTTCTGTGAATAGATTTTAAGTTATAGTATTCTTATAACTATTTCCATTGAAATGTAAATTACGCATTTTACTGCTCTTTATAGATAAGAAAAATTGCCTCATTAACGAAGTTTTATTCAACAATCAAAAAGCAAATACCCATTATGCAATAATTATAGGTCCTTCATAACTTTTGTCAATATAGCACATTAACCCATTTATGCCGGAGGTTGCAAACTTTTTTTTGTGAAAAATCAGACCTTGGGGATGACCTTGAGCAGTAGGATATAAATAACTCCCACAAGCTTAGCATTCCAATAATGGAACACCAGGCATAAATGTCTTAAGTAGCAGAAGAAAAAGAAGGACCACCACCAATGAAAAGGAGTTAACTACCTAGAAAGGTGAAAATTCCAGACAACTGGTCAATATTTTTTACAGATGATTATGCAGAATTCACAAATTACTAGATACTCATTCATTTATACCAGTTATTAAAGGATTGCATCACTGTTTGTCCCTTGGCATTTAAAATCTATAACCATACAGTTTTGCAAAGCAATGTTTAACAAATGACACACATTTTAAGTTCTTTTAAGACTTTAAAAGCAATAGCTCAGGGTTTATAATAATCTTTTCTTTACTAAATAATATATTGCAAGTCAGTTATACTAAATTAAATTATGAGTCTTTTTCCTTGTCCTAAAACAAAATTTTCTCTATTAACCTAATTTATGTTTTCCACTTTCAAAAGCCAATATTTTAAAAATTGGCTATAGGACAAACAAAACATATAGTTAGTTAAGATAATCTTAGCTCTAAATCACCACTATAAACTTCTCCTTTGGGAAACCAACAGGAATGGGAAATTGAGATAAAGAAAAATGCAAGACTATTTTAAATTTAAAAGAGAACACTGGAAAATGTTTTATAAGCTTCAACTGTTTCTAGATTTGAGATTTATTCTTCACCCTGTGTTTTCTTCAATTAAAATGGACACAGAATTGAATTGAGTTAAACTGATCCTTTAAAATGCCAACAAGGTAAAATTTTTCAGAACTCACCTGTTGTAAATTAATGCCAGTGTATTTTTAAAACCTTGATGCTTTCAAAGTAATATTTACTTTAAATCAACGAAACATCTGAGCTTAACACTAATAATTATAAAAATAAAGTCTGTTTTTTCCAATCTGAGTTATGACTGCAAATACCAAATGTAAGAGTATCCTCAAACAAGTTGGGTGGTGAATGAGATATCAAAATTATTGATCTTTCTTTTTTTTTTTGAGATGAAGTTTTACTCTGTTGCCCAGGAGTGCAGTGATGTGATCTCGGCTCACTGCAACCTCCACCTCCGGGGTTCAAGTGATTCTTGTGCCTCAGCCTCCCGAGTAGCTGGGATTACAGGTGCGCTCTACGTGCCCAGCTAATTTATTTATTTTTTATTTTTATTTTTTTAGTAGAGATGGGGTTTCACCATGTTGGCCAGGCTAGTCTCGAACTCCTGAACTCAAATGATAAAACTACTGATCTTTCTAAACCTCTGCTAGGGTAATAAACAACCAAAATAATGTGAACCCAGGTGGCTCAGCTACAGCACCTGCTACTGATATTCAGACTAGTGCTTGAGGGAAGAGTCACTACAATTCTGAAGTAGGGTTTTATACAATGCTAAAGTGCTGGCTGTTCCTCATTTATCCCATCTAAGGTTGAATCTAACAGCAGAAAGTTAGCTAAGTATAACAAACCGATCTTATAGAATGCAATAAAGACCATGGATATATATGTACTAATGTCTAAAATATGTGACTTAACTAACTTGTCAGTGAAATCTTAGGGAAAGATTTAGAATTAAAAGATTAAGGTATTGAATTTCTTTTTTGAATGTGAACTCAAACATTCAAAATATTTATTTTGCATTTATTAATAACTTGAAACATTACTTACTTCCCTGTAAGAATTCCATTTCCTGTCCTTTCCCTTTCCAGAAGTAGTTTTGTAACACAAAATTTATATATCTTTAAAATATTAGTTCTAAGATTTCCTTGATAATTACCGACTGAAGTTTTACAAAGCAAATATTAGATTCCATTATTCAGATAATTCTTTTAGGCAATAAGATTTGGAATTGTGCTTATTACCCAAGGCAGCTATGACTGTGGCTAAAAGAAGAATACACAAAGCTGTTGGGTAGAGAACAGTCACAGAACCTTTAGCATACTACGTGTATATTCCATTTTTTAAAAACTGAATAAGCATAACGGCTGAACCTAAAGGGTGATACTGAAGGACAAACAGTGAAAACTACAAATCATGCGTAATCTGTCATCATGCTTAGAACCTTCTTAACTACAGCATTTTCCATTCTTACCTCAGATTTTTCCAGCTTATTTTGTGCATCAATTTGTGTAACAATCTCATTCATATTTGTCTCCAATACCATTCCCCCCATCACCATTTCTGCAAGAATATTGTGAACCTAAAGGGAATAAAAGAATATATACCCATAAAGAAAATTCACTAAAAAGAAGTTTCATGATTCACTTTTTGTTTCAAATACCACTTTGTCTATGTTAAAAGTATGAGTGGTAAAAACAACTTGGAGTAAGGGCTCATAATCCACTTTCATCACTACTGTGAAGCCCTAGGCAGTTATATAACCTCCTTAAGTCTGAGCTTAATGGGCTATAAAACAAAAACAATAGTACTACCTTCATAGGACTGTTGAAAGGAATAAGCAAGGTAATCCAATGCAGTACTCAAAACAAAGTAAATGACTAGTAAATATTAACTACCATTATTATTATTATTATGTGAAGTTTAATACTAAAATATGATTTATAAGAGCCTTTTATGCCAGATTCTTAGCCAACAATAATTAGGTTATTATTTTACACTCATGGTACTTAATGAAGCAATGTAGTACAGTACTTCTAACAGGCTCTAGATTGGAAAAAGGTAGAATTTTTTAAATTGTGGGTACTTTAATAGTGTTTTTACCCCCAAATCCTCTACACATGTAATATTCAGATTTCTTCTAATAAATACATCTTACAATGACTAAAAATGATGTCTTCCATTGGGGAGTAAAAATATAACTTCTGTCTTTTCATAAGGTATTATTGGATCAAAAAATCAACAATTCAGAACTGAATTACATTTCACAGAAGAATCTATTCTGCTATAATTTTTTTAAAATAATGTGGTAAGGTTAGAAATGGAGACTCCAAAATTAGATAAGTATGAATACAGACTCTACCACTTATTACTTGTAGCCCTTGAGCAGTTACTTCAGCTCTCTGAGTCTGTTACCTTATTTACGAAATAGAGACAGAAATAATATAGGCACCTCATAGGATTACCATAACAATTAAATAAATAATTTATGTAAGTGCTTAGCATAGAACCACTAGGTATTATACGGTAATTTTTTTTTCAACAAACTCTTTTTAGGAGTTAAATATGTATTACTCAATTTAAATTTCTTTGTAAGATTTCACGCAAATTTATTCATAATTTAAAAAATATCCCTGGAGGCTGGGTATGGTGGCTCACACCTGTAATCCCAACACTTTGGGAGGACAAGGTGGACAGATCACTGGCAATATGGCAAAACCCTGCCTTTACAAAAAATGCAGACAATTAGCCAGGCATAGTGCCTCACGTCTGTACTTCCAGCTACTCGGGAGGCTGACCCAGGAGGACTGCCTGAGCCCGGGAAGTGGAGGGTGCAGTGAGCTGAAATCACACTACTGCACTCTAGCATGGGCAACAGAGTGAGACCCTGCCTCAATTAAAAAAAAAAAAAAAGTCATCATTATTTACTATTTTTCATTTTGGAAGCATGGACACCTCATGCACAAATTCTGAAGACAAATTTATATAAATTAATCTTCCTAGCCAACCAAACCAAACCAGACATGACAGTGTTTTGAAAACTACCGTAACTTAAAAAAAAAAAAAAAAAAAAAGAATATAGGCAAATGACTAAAAGTTCATACAGAAACTTATGTATGAACAACAATAGTCTCTACCACACTCTGCATCCGTTTTTAGGTCCCTTTATCCAAAGCTACTCAGCTAGCTATATCTTAGGTATCCTAGAAAACTTGCTGTGCACATACTTGTTATACGTGTGTATATGCATATCTAATTTACACAAATGAGAACATATTATATACATTAATTTTCGCAGTTCTGCAAGAAAATAAAGAATTGAAAGTTAGAGGAAGGAAAGAATGAGAAATTAAGTTAGGAAAACCATAAAAGAGACTGGTGCCTGATATACATATGACAGTGATAAATGAAACTGTGTTGGTAAGAGCAAACAAACAAAAATATAAAAATTTAAAACAGTGAATCAACATTAATTATTAGACACATATTTTTATAATGAGATCTCTCACTGATCTCTGTCAGAGAAGCAAGCTGCAAATATGGAAAACGAGAAAGCCAGAAGAAATTCTGTAGTATTGTACTAGATTCTGAGGTATTAAGAAGTGGTCAATGATTTTTAATATCATATCAAGATCCAGAAACAGCTGTGCGTGTATACATACATCTATTTCCCAGCTCAGTTCACTAAGAACCAGGAGTCATGTCACCCCAGTAACAATGAGCAAACACAGTGCCCAAATCGTCATTTCTAAACATCATTCTCTACTGAAGGAAGCCAGGGTTCCTTGGAGAAATGGCTGACTTGAGGGCTGGAGCAGAAAATACGTAAGATGCTCTGTTCATTGAAAAGGCCATAAAACAATGAGCAACTTCATAATCATGAGCACCTCTAGACTGTAGTTACTATATACCATCGCCAACAAAAAGGAATCAGGGCTCCTAGAAAAGAATGGTTGACAACATGTCTGGAACAGGAAATGAATAAAATGAGTTTAGAACATCTAGCTGGACCACAACACAAGACAGCTACCAAAGCCTATGACGGGGTAGGTCAGGTCAAATGAACTAGCAAAGATAATCTGAAGGGGTTCCCACTGGCCAAAGATGGGCAACTTGAACATAATAGAAAATAATGTCTGCAACTGATTAAAACAAATCAAATATATTAAAAATTTTATGCCATAGGATACTAAAAAACTTAAATGATCTTTTTTGGTGGATATTAGAAAAGCAACCAGTTATGAAAATTGGTAACTATAAAGAAAAATACTCTAGAATTTATCTGGCCTTTCCTATATAAACTGTGCCTTTTATTTAAGCCCATCTTTGTCTTCAGTAAATTATTTCATTCTGTGCACTTTTAGTGTATTGAATATTATTTCTACCTTTAATTATACTTTCTCTTTTCTCCCAATATTTTAAGTTTGATCTAATTTTATTACACTATTCTCTTCCTTTTAAATATGAAACTCTACTGTGCTTATACTTCCCATTAATATATATCTCTCCCTCTTAAATGACTTTATTATTATTTATAAAACAAATATCAAGTTTTCTAGACCACTGAGAGACCTTGTTTTCCTACTAAAATACTTTAATTATTCCTCATTCTTCTTTCTCTCAATTGGATAAGATCCTCCAAGTACTTGTATAATAGATGTTAAATGTATCCTTCAAAGTCTCTTTTCTTCTTCTTCATGTTTTCTATCTTTCAGTCTTATGCTTTGGGATTATTTCCTACACTTGATCTTCTACCTTTAATTCAAGCCTCAATTGTGATCACCTTCTTTAAAAGTTTTCAGTCTGAAAAACTCTTTTCAAGCCCAAGAAGACTTTTCCAAATCTTAAGTACTTTTAAAATCATTTTAAAATTTCAAGTGAGGCCAGGTGGTGGCTCACACCTGTAATCTCAATGCTTTGGGAGGCCAAGGCAGGAGGATCACTTGAGGTCAGGAGTTCAAGACCAGCCTGGGCAACACAGCAAGACCCCAGCCATACCAAAATAAATAAATTTTAAAATTATAAAATTTCAAGTGTTACTCTATCTTCTCCAGTAGTTCTTTTCCATGGAGCGTAATTTCTGATTGTTCAATCTGTTAATCTCTCTTGTTCAGATGGCAGTGCTTTCTTTCTATTGGCTTACTGTGCTCAGGGCTGGCTTCCAAGATGTTATTAATGGCTAGTAGCTCCTTTATTTGGTGAAAGTAAAAGGAGTCTCTCGTTCTGTGCCTGTGGTTAAAGACCAGGCTGTCCAAATCCTCAAGAGGGACCAGGTTGGAAGAAAGCACTCTGCTCTTAAGTCTTTATTCTCTCAGCCTCAAGGGTATGAAAGACACAGGCCTCCGATCAGATCTCTACCCTAATCACTTGTGGAGGCAAGTGGGGGAATGCAGAGAGGAGAATAGAGTATATTAACAGCTGTCATTCTCAAAGTCATACATCCTCCAAACCAAGCCCTGCACAGAATCTTTAGCTCTCTCATTTTGCCCTGGATTTTGATGCTTTCTTCCAATATGGGCAACAACACGGGGCCACCCAATTGGAGCCACACTATACAGGAAATGGGCAGATAACTCAGCAGCTCCCCCAGCAAATCCACAATAAACATATAGTGTAAGTAAGAAACAAACTGAATGATTCATATTTTAGGATTTTAGGGGTAATAACCACAGCATACCTTAGCTGTATGTGATAAAGGGTCTGACTCCATTTTTGATGTGTGTCTGCTCACAGCCTTCAAGTTCTACTAGTCCCCATTCCTCTTCTGCCCCATATCTGGGCAAGCTGTTAAGAAGGTCTGGATGCTCCTTCCTTTACACTAGTGGAAAGTTCAGACTACCTAAGACCTGGCCCACATGCAGAAATCCTCACACCCCATCCCCACCACCAAACCACCATAAAACCCAAGCCCCGTGTTGTTCTCTGTTTTCTCCAGAAAGCCTCATTATGTGAGTAATAAATCTTTTCCTATCCTCTTGGGGCACCTGTGACATTGTTAGTCTCTACATCCAAACCAATTGTGAGTAGGGGTGGGTCTGTCCCACTACTTCAGGGTGACTACACTAGCCTATGTGATTGATACAGTTATTAGCATGTAAAGATTTATAAAAAGAAACTAGTAACAACCACAATAAAAGAAAATGTGTGACAGTGGTTTACAGGTTGGGCAGCTGGCCACATAGAAACTGTTACATTGGAGGCTGGAAAGTTACTGATCCATGTTTGTAGTGGCAAAATACTTGGTACAATTATCATCTGTGATACCCTGAAAAGCAGATAAATTTACCCAATGAAAACTTTTTTTCTCTCTGACATAGAAACTAACAATGTTCTGGATAGTGGCAGCTTTGTTACCATGGATCCCAAAATGACAGCATGTGGAATATGATAAACATACTGCGTGAATGGGAAATAACCCTTTTTTGTTTTAAGTGGCTAACATTTCCATGTTCGCTACTGCAGCATAAATTAGCTCATCCTGACTGATAACAAAAGGGATATTCTCTACAACTTTCTCTTTTCATCTACTCAGTTGTGACCCAGAAGCAGTCTGAGGGTTGTGTGCAAACCTCCCTATGTCTTGCCTTTAAGAAAATGTGAGCTGTGGCCGGGCGTGGTGGCTCACACCTGCAATCCCAGCACTTTGGGAGGCCGAGGCAGGCAGATCACGAGGTCAGGAGATCGAGACCATCCTGGCTAACACCGTGAAATACCATCTCTACTAAAAAAATACAAAAAAATTAGCCAGGCGTGGTGGCGGGTGCCTGTAGTCCCAGCTACTCGGGAGGCTGAGGCAGGAGAATGGAGTGAACCTGGGAGGTGGAGCTTGCATTAAGCCGAGATCGCCACTACACTCCAGCCTGGGTGACAGAGCGAGACTCCATCTCAGAAAAAAAAAAGAAAATGTGAGCTGAGCCAGTCAGAAGATCCCTACTGCTGGAAGGTCCAGAGCTGCTTAAAAGTTGAAATTTAAAAAAATATATCTATATTTTTAAGTTGAAAATAATTTTCATCAAAGGGCTGAAAGCAAAGTTAGCATTGTCTTGGCGAATAGAAAGGAAACACTTATTTGATCTCTGTCTTTTGGTATCCTAAAACTTTTGTCTCCTTGCCTTGAAAAAATAAAACAAGATCTTAGCCCAGAGAAAAGAGAGACAGCTAATTTTGGCAGGTTCTAAAATAGTGATATAGTGTTGTGTAAAATGAACAGGCTAACACAAAATACATATTGTATGATCCCATCTTTATTGTTTTAAAGATGTATTTGTTTAAAGATTATTTGTTTTAAAGATGTAAAATCAAGTACTATACATATTCTAAAATGTTAACACTAGGCAATCTCTGGGATAGGGATGATTTTCACATATTTTTCTCTCTGTATTTTCTGATTTTTCTAAAATGAATGCATACTAATGAGAAATAGAAGTTTTAAAAACATTTTGTGTCATGTATGGAAGTTGCAGATGAGTACAGCTTAATTTCCTTAAAAACTTTTATTCTCTTTCTCTAGTAAAAAAAATATAAGAACCTTACTCTTACCATCACATTTCACAAGAGAGTCCTCAATTTTCTTAAAAGATGGTAAATGTATTTACATAAGCTAATGATGACCTCTCAGCAGTCATTTTAAAACACAGCTTTCTAAAAATTTTAATCATGTACCAAAACATAAATTTTTTTCTTTTTTGATACAGGGTCTCACTCTGTCACCCAGGCTGAAGTTCAGTGGCACAATCATGGCTCACTACAGCCTCAACCTCCCCAGGCACAGGTGATCCTCTTTCCTCAGCCTCCCAACCAGCTAGGACTACAGATGCATAACACCACACCTGGCTAATTTTTGTATTTTTTGTAGAGACCAGGTTTTGCCATGTTGCCCAGGATGGCCTCAAACTCCTGGGCTCAAGCAATCCTCCGGCCTCAGCCTCCCAAACTGCTGGGATTACAGACATGAGCACCTGCACCTGGTCTTCAAACATAATTTTGAATATTGTGAACCCTAATGACTAAAAATAACAAGAGTCTTTGTAAGTGTGAAAAAGCATTAGACATAGCAATTAGAGAAAAACAGTAGAACATTAAAAACAGACTCATAAAAATATCATGCTTAAGTACACTGTCCAAAATGAATTAATTTATAAAATCAAATCACTTGGTAAATGAGAGATATGATCTAGAATACTGGCCAAAGAGAAAAGTATTTTTTTGACATTCACAAATAATGAAATGCATTCTTTGTACTACTTTGATTGTGATGCTGGTTACATGTACTATACACACTAGTCGAAACTTAGTTTTGTAAGCTTAAAACTGTTGACTTTTAACACCTGTAAATTATGCCTCAATAAAGCCAATTTTTAAAAATCACACTGGATTTTTTTTGCTAAAATTTTCAGACTCTTACTCAGTAGTTGAATCACTCATAAAGAATCTCTTAGATTATACAAACCTAATACAGAAAAAAATCTGCACATAGTGAAAGTGGAATCTCTTCCTCCTAAGTTCCGTATCACAAATATCTACTAATACTGGCAGAAATCTGTCATTCTTTCTCTCACCTTCAGCTTTCAATAAGCCATCAAATCCCATCAATTCTACCTTCTTCCAAACCTAATCTTAGCGTTTTTCCTTCTTTCAAACCTCATCGTAGTGTCTTAGTCATTTCCTTCTGGACTACTGCAATAAACTCTTAATTGATTTCCATGTGTTTAATTTCCCAGCCTATCAATCCAATCTCCATAATACAAGAAAAAATCACTCTATCAAAAAAATATACAAACAAAGCAATAATAACGTCAGTAAAAACTTGTTTAAAAACATTAAATTGCCTCACAATAAAGTTCAAAGTCATGGCATTAATGGTTGTTTTAAACTAGGCCTGTTGATCAGTATCAGTCCCTCCTCACAAAAAGGCCTATATTTTATATCTCTGTCAGTAGGACCATCCTCTCCTTTTCTATGTATGATATATCTACTAATCCCTTAAAAATCCAGTTTAAATGTAGTTTCCTCCATTCACAGTCTCCTAGGCAGAGGTAAGTGGTTCAGCTGTGTCCCCATTAACATGCTACACATACTATTATTATTATTTGTTAATGCCGTTGTTTCCACCCTTCGATGTGAACTCCTCTAAGGCAGGATCTGAATCTTCTCCACCAAGCACAAAGCCTGGCTCATAGTAAAAAAAAAATTATGAATTGAATAATAAAAGAATAAAAATAGAATTATTCATTAAAGCCATTTTTGCTATGACAATTATAAGTTAATGTTTTTCTTAAAAAGCTTAGATGTGACAATACAAATAGTACCTTGTCTACATGGAAAATCAAATCCAGCTCACAGACATTTTCAAAACATTTGTCTAATGTTTCCACAAATACCTATGGAAAAAGAAAAAAGGTTTTAAGAACTGTTTAAATTTATTCAAAACTATTATCTATAAGGAAGGCAATTCTTAATTATGAACTAAAATTTTGTATTATACATTTATCTTTTTCAAACTAAAAATTGTATTAATGCAAAAAAAGTAAAAAAAGAATAGAGTCCTACCAAGTTTAACTACAGATAAATTACTTTTCAATACATAAGTATAGAAAACAAACTTTTTTTGAAAAGGACTAAAACTAGAAAGTCTTAGCACCATTTCTTACAAAAGCACTTAAAAATACTCAACTAAGCCTCCTTATTTTAATGTGAGGGGGAAGAAAGCTCATTAGGAAATATCCATCAAGAGAGGTAAGGCACAGTCCAAGTCCCTACTATATCTAATGCAGCCAGTAATTTTTAATTATCAAATCAGTATAAAAGACCACTAAAAACTACTTAGCGAAAAAGCACAGACTTTGGAATCAGACTTACCTGGGTCCAAACTCTAAACTGAATAACTTGTATGACCTCGTGGGAAGAGTCACCTCAGCAGGCTTGCGTTGCTCAAACTCTGCACATTCCCATAAATGGACTGTTTTCAGGACTAGCCCTTGGCCAGCTCCTGAGAACTAAGCTCCAACCTTTCAGAAAGTTGTCTGATTAGAGTGTTTTTGTATGCTGGAGGTCTTGGGCCATGCTGTACCAATTTGAGCAGGTACTTCATGTTAATAATGTGATTTATAGTGAATGCCTGCTTTTTCTCCGAGGATCTGAAGCTTAAGTAGCCAAGGTCAGTCATGCAGGCATGACATACC
This sequence comes from Homo sapiens, assembly GCF_000001405.40. Lineage (NCBI taxonomy): Eukaryota > Metazoa > Chordata > Mammalia > Primates > Hominidae > Homo > Homo sapiens. The sequence continues at coordinate 115,894,285 of NC_000005.10, read as the reverse complement.
TATGTGACTGACCCCCAGGGTAAACATCCCTGGTTGGGAATACTCTGTACACATTATGACATATTTTGGGGGAAATTAAGCATGTCCTGTGTAACTCCAGTAGAAAGGAACACCTGACAGCTTGCAACTGGAGTCTTCCAGACTTCATCCCATGTGCCTTTGCTGATTTTACTCTGTATCCTTTCACTATAATAAACCATAGCATGCATATAGCAACTTCTGAGTCCAGTGCATCCCAGTAAATCATTGAGATGATCCTGATGATCTCTGATGCAAACCTTCAAAAATCAATCTCTTAAATTCCAACTTGCATAGTTGTCACTGACTATTCTATTCCCATTTCTATTCTCACCACCCTTTTCAGTGGTAACTTAAGATAAAGGGACCATGTAATTTATTATCCTAAATGGGGTAGTATTAAAAGTAAAAAGGAACAGCTATTAATAATAAATTATATAATAGTATGCAACATTATTATAATGTAATAACAGCCTGGAACAACAGCTATAAACCAGGACTATCCCTAGTTTATTGAAATGAATAGTCATCCCACTATTCACAGGTGATCCTATGGGGAAAGGGGTAAAATGTAAACAAGAGGCTTCTTGCTATAGTTGCTCCTATGTAGGGCACGTTTCTACAAATCCACAATCTAAGGTTTCTTCCTGGCATCAATGTTAGATGGCTAAGTGGACATGTAACTACAGTTCATCCTTGAACAACGTAGGGTTAGGGACTCCAGCCTTCCAGGCAGTTGAAAATCCATGCCTAACTTTGACTTCCCCAAATCTACTAATAGTTTACTATCGATGGAAACCTTACCAATGACATAGTTGATTAACACATATTTCATATTTCGCAAAAAATGTGAAATAACGTTTTCATGCCTGCTGGGGTACGACTTCATGAAATTTCCTAAAAATTTCCTTTTCTTGTTGTACAATGGTCTATATGCTACATCCACTTATCTTGAAATGGAAAGCAACCACAGCTGCAGATTTCAATCTAAGGTACATATCAAGTGATTCAACTTTTGCTGGTAATGTCATGACACTCTCTGCTTCTTGGGGGCACTTCCACCATCGCTAGTGGCACTTGGTATGGGAGTTACTGTGGTGTTATTCAAGGATTACGATATTGAGTAAACATGATGAAAAATACACAAGAACCAGAAGGGATTACTTTTTGCTTATGGGGAAATTATTAGCAGGACATAGCAATTTAAGCAGATACTCAAAACACTTGACCTCACCACAAGGAGGTGACAACAAAATTATTATAGTTAATATATACAGTTAATTTTGTCTAGCTATAATTTATTTTAATTTCTGTGGGTATACAATAGGTATATATATCTGTGGGGTACATGAGATGTTTTGATACAGGCATGCAATGCATGATAATCACTTCAAGGAAAATGGGGTATCCATCCCCTCAAGCATTTATCCTTTGTGTTACAAACAATCCAATTATACATTTTTACTTATTTTTGAATGTGCAATTCAATGATTATTGACTATAATCACCCTATTGAGCTATCAAATAGTAGGTCTTATTCATTCTATTTTTTTTATCCATTAACCATCTCCACAACCATCTTCACCTTTCTCCAACCCTCCACTACCCTTCCAAGTCTCTAGCAACTATCCTTCTACTCTCTATGTCCATGAGTTCAACTGTTTTGACTTTTAGATCCTAAAAGTAAGGAGAACATATGATGTTTGTCTTTCTGTGTCTGGCTTCTTTCACTTAACATAAAGATCTCCAGTTCTATCCATCCATGTTGCTGCAAATGACAATATCATTCTTTTTGCTCGTACTCCATTGTGTATATGTACCACATTTTCTTTATCCATTATTCGTCTGCTGATGAACACTTAGGTTGCTTCCAAATCTTGGATATTCTAAACAGTGCTGCAACAAATATGGGAGTGCAGATATCTCTTTGACACACTGATTTCTTTTCTTTTGAATATATACCCAGCAGTGAGCTGGATCCTATGGTAGCTCTATTTTTAGTTTTTTGAGGAACCTCCAAACCGCTCCCCATGGTGGCTGTGCTAATTTATGTTCTCACCAAGTGTACAAGGGTTCCCTTTTCTCCACATCCTTGCCAGCATTTATTATTGCCTGACTTTGCAAATAAGCCATTTTAACTGGAATGAGATGATATCTCACTGCAGTTTTGATTTACATTTCCCTGATGATCAATGATGTTGAACACCTTTTCATATGCCTGTTTGGCATTTGTATGTCTTCTTTTGAGAAATGTCTATTCAAATCTTTTGCCCATTTTTTGGTTAAATTATTAGGGTGCATGAAAGTCTGAAATCCAGTGGGGGAGTCAAATCTTAAAGCTCCAAAATGATCTCCTTTGACTCCATGTCTCACATCCAGGTCACTCTGATGCAAGAGGTGGGCTCCCACGGCCTTGGGCAGCTCCAACCCTGTGGCTTTGCAGGGTACAGCCTCCCTCCTGGCTGCTTTCACAGGCTGGTGTTGAGCGTCTGTGGCTTTTCCAGGAATACAGTGCAAGCTGTCAGTGGATCTATCATTCTGGGGTCTGGAGGATCATGGCCCTCTTCTCATAACTCCACGAGGCAGTGCCCCAGTACGGACTCTGTGTGGGGGCTCTGACCCCACATTTCCCTTCCACACTGCCCTAGTAGAGGTTCTCCATGAGGGTCCCACCCATCTGTATCCTTTGTAATATTCTTTATAATAAGTGGGTAAATGTGTTCCCCTGAGTTCTGTAAAGTGCTCTGAGAAATTAATCAAACTGAGGAGGGGGGTCACAAGAATCCCAATTTACCATCACTCAATCAAAAGTACAGGTCACAACCTACTACTTGCAACTGGCATCTGAAGTGGGGGCAGCCTTGTGGGACTGTGTCATGGGATCTGATACTATCCCCACGTAGATACTGTCAGCACTGAATTACAGGACACCCAGCAGGAGAACTGCTTGGTGTGTGGGGGACAAACTCCCAAATATCTGGTGTCAGATGTATTGTACTGAGTGACTGTGGAAGTAGAGGCAAAAAAAATCTTGTATGTTCCCTTTACAACAGGTCAGCCACAAGTGAGATTTTAGTTTAATTTTTTGGTAGGTAAAAAATTAGTATCATTTAGTATCCACCCAAACTCCCAACTTTATCTATTTCTCCTCAAGGCCCTGGTGACATGGTGCCTGAAATGACTTTACTCATTCTATTTCTAACTAATTCAGATACATTTTTCCTCTTTGATACAACAGACTCCTGTTATGAGGACTGAATGGGGTAATGCTGCTTGAACACAGAGTAAGCAATTAACAAATATTAACTTTTTGGAGAGAGTAATAATAGGAGTGAAGAGAGGAAAATTTTCACTGTTACCAGGGCAGCCCTGATGAAACAGCTGGGAAAGGTCTTTTCCTAGACCCCTATTAATGGGCACATCTGCTTAAAGAAACTAGACAGCCTGGGATGATACCAGAGCTCCGGAAACAACTCAAGTTACTGGTGACATTTCCATTGAGAAAGAAGAAAATATTTACTTTTAAAATAGTCTTTAACTTAGAAATCATTTGAATACTTATTTAGAAAATCATAGTTAAAAGTTATGGAAAATAAAGCCACTTAAGTTCCACCCCCACCTAAGTATTTACTTAAGTGTAACATACACATAGAAAAGTACAAAAATCATAACATATAACATAAATTTTTCTGTATAATCAACACTCAAATCATGTTTTAACATTACCAGCATTATAGAAGCCTTCTCAGAGTCCATCAGTCACTTATCAACCATCAAAGGTAACCAATACCCAACTTCCTAACACTATGAATACATTTTATCTATGTCTGAACCATATTAAAATGAGATTATAGGATACATGCTCTTTTGTGAGTGGCTTCTTTTATTCATTGTTATTTTTTGTGAGATTTATTCAGGTTATTACATAATACAACAGCTAATCATTCTTAGTTGTACAGTATGCCACTGAATTAGAATATCACAGTGTGTCCATTCTACTGGTGACATAAATTTGTGTTGTTTCCAGTATGGTGCCATTACAATTAGTACTGTTAAGAACATTTCTTACACATCTTTTAGTGAACATATATATACGTATACACATATCTACTGATTGTATACTTGGAGTAGAACTGCTAGGTCAAAGAGTCGTGTAGGTTAAGCTTTAGTATACAGTGTCAAATAGACTTTCAAAACGATTATACGCACTTAGACTTTAAATAGCAGTATATGAGAGTTTCTGTAGTTCCATAGCCTTTTCACCACCTTATGTTATCCATCTTTTAACTTTAACCATACTCAAGGGTGTGTGGTGGTATATGATGGTATTAATTTGTACTTCTCTGATATAAGACTGCGTACCTTTTCATTTGTATTACCCATTTAGATATCTATTTTCATAATGCCTGTTCAAGATTTCTGCTCATTTTCTATTGGTCTTTTTATCATTTTTTTTTAAAGACATGGTTTCACTATGTTGCCCAGGCTGGTCTCAAACTCCTGGGCTCAAGCAATCCTTCCACCTCAGACACCTGAGTAGCTGGGATTACAAGGGTCTGTATTTTCTTATTGATGTATAGGAATTCTTTATATAGTCTAGCTACAGTCTTTTGTCATATGTATTACAAATACCTTTGCCAGTTCTGTGGCTTGCCTTTTCATTCTCCTAACAGTGCCCTTGGAAGAACAGAATTTTTCCATTCCAATAAAATCCAATTTTTCAGTTTTCTTCTTTGTAGTTAACATTGTTTTATGTCCACTTTAAGGAATCTTGGCTTACAGCAAGGTCAGGAAAGAGATTCACTCAGAAGAAAACAAAAGCTTTATTATTTTACTCTTCATGTTTGGACCAAATTTATCTGAAATTGATTTCTGTGTATGACGTGGAGTGGTCTTACTTGATTTTAAATCATTATTAGATTTACTAATCAGAATACAATTTCCAGTATGCCTTTATTTTTTCTTTCTTAATTTTTCTAGTTCCATTGATTACCTATATGTTGCAGTCATACTTTTTTAACCATGAGAAGACCATCTTGGTAAAAATGCTGTCTAAATAGTTCCCCTTCACTTACATGTATTTATAAAAGATCAGCAGAACCTACTAAATGTGCAGATTATATTGGGCAAAAAAGAAAAAAAAGTTCGTGATAGCATTAAGTGTGCCTCTGGTAAAGTATGGAGTGGTAAAAAACATGGGTTGCCTATAGAGGCAGCACAGTACTGTGTTGAGGATACATGCTTTGAAACCAGGAAGACATACATGCCTTCAAATCCCTGCTCTGTGGCCTCAAGTATCATTTAACTCCTTTAAATCTCAGAACTATAAGATAGAGATAAAACTACTTACTTTTCTGGATTATCATAAAAATTGAGTTAAACAATTTAGATAGAGTGCCCAGCACAGTTCCGAAGACCCATTTAATAAATGGCAGCCAGAATTATTTATCTGGCTGTTCAAAATACATGATAATTATAAAATTAAAATAGAAATAGAAAATTATAATTCTGCTGATAAATACTGATATAAAAGGAAGATAACTACATGCCACAACTACCAAGACACTGTAATTTGTTAACTTAGGAAGAAAAAAATGCTGTCCACATTTAATCCAGAACAATATCACATGTAAAAAAATGTGAATACTATAAAAAAAGTACCCTGCAACAAAATGTCATTATAACTGCATGTTATTAATTTATGAAAAAAATTCTTAAAATTTAAAGCACTCAGATACTCTGTTCAGTTTTAAAAAATCAACAAACCTTCTTCAAAAGACTTTCTAATTTTCTTTTGATTTAGCAAAAATTATTTAATATCATCAGAAATCTAGAGCCCTAAGGTCCATCACACACTGATGATCTGTTACATGCACAAGGCCAACAAAAAACAAATAACTGACAATCTGAAGTGAAGAAATTAAGGGGGAAAAATTAGAGTCTCGATGGTTCTAACCATAACAACAATAAAAAAATTGCTGTTGCATTATTATTTCACAAGTAGAAAGATAAAAGGAGCTAAGACCTAGAAGTATCATAGTAAACAGCACCCTCTTGTGCTTCAACTTTAAAATGATATAAAGTTTAAAGCCAATTTCAATATAACAGGTATCTAACTACTACTGAGTAGCTACTCAGGTGCCAGGGATATAAAACCAAAGACCTAAACTCTGTCCTCAAGGAATTCAAAAGCTGGTGGGAGAAAAATTACTTCCAATTTACAAAAAGAATAATATTTTAAATTGTCCTGCATTTTAATTACCTAGTATTCAAAAAATAAATATAAAAAGTAAATAGATTTCGAAAAATGCCTCCTCCAAATATAAAGAGTCCTCCTTTCCCATGCTATTCTAGTTATAAAACATGCTTGTGTTTTCTTTATCTTTACATCCAAGCCACAAAGAGTAACCTATACATCCAGGCCACAAAGAGTAACAGGTATCTATTATATGACAGCTTTGTAGTTAGTACTCAAGAGCACAAACTTTAGCATGTGTATACTTAAATTCTAGCCTTGCCTCTAACTCTGAGATCCAGGGCAAGTTATTTAACACTAAGCCTCAGTTTCTTATCTGGGCATAATAATGGTAACTATATCATAGAGTTGTTTTAGTGATTAAATGAATAAATATAAAGGGCTTACAACAATGTCTCACAAAAGAAAACACTCAATATACATTAGCTAGTATTATAATACCAAACACACGGAGAAATAAAAATGTACACAAGATAAAATAAAAATACCACAAATTACCCTTAAACAATACCACTTATTTGGCAGACCCCTTTTTGAGTTTCTAAGTAAAAAAAAAAATTGGTTTCTGGGTTTAGAAATTTCTGTTAAAATTCAGGAGAAACAGATCCTGCTGTTTTGAATCTACAATAATAAATGAAAAAAAAAAAGGGTTACACTGACATGTTATAAGATACGAAAAGTCTTTAGTGCAAAAATAGGAGGCATAAATTTAAGGATACTAATATGCTGAAGCCAAAAAATTATTTTTTTATCACCAGCAAGATGTTCTAGAGAGAAATATCTTGGTTTAACTCAAACCAATAACTAAAAAATACCATTACAAATATTGAATGTACCAGCAGAGCTAGGGAAGACAAACTGAACGTAAAATCACATCATTTACCTTTGAAGAACAATTATGAATGTAGCCTAGGTACACTCTCCAATAGGTACCCACTGCATGTACTATTAAGAATCTTTAAAGTATGGTGTTTAAGATATGTAAATAGCACTTGACTCAATATATGACTGCATTCTGGACTGGATTTCTATTAAACCTCACTTGGACACTCACATGCCAGTGATGACAATGTTAGCAAAAACAGTCATTTATTGTGCATTTACTATGTACCATGCACTTAACACATAATGAACTCAACGTCAATATAGAGAAATTAAGAGCTGAAGAAAGGACCATCTACCTTCTATATCATGTCATAATAATTCTGAAAGAGTTTACATTAATGATTCCTTCTCTGTGATTTATAGAAAGTTAATTATAATAACAGCTAGCATTTACTTGGTACAGGTGATCTTTGAACAACAGTGGGGTTGGGATGCTGACTCTCCACACAGTTGAAAATCTGCGTACAACTTTTGACTCACTAAAAACCTAACTACAATGGCCTGCTGTTGACCAGAAGCCTTACCGATAACATAAACAGTCGACTAGTACACATTTTTTGTTATATGTATTCTATACTGCAATCTTACAATAAAACGAGCTAGAGAAGAAATGTTATTAAGAAAATCATAAGGAAGAGAACATATATTTACTCTTCATTTAGTGGAAATGGTTCATCATAAATATCTTTATCTTCGTCTTCACATTGAGTAGACTAAGGAAGATGAGGGGTTGGTTTTGCTGTCTCAGGGGTGGCAGAGGTGGAAGAAGTGGAGGAGGTGGAATGGGAGGCACGAGAGGCAGGTACACTCAGTGTAATCTTTATCTTAAAAAATCTGTGTATAAGTTGACCCACACAGTTCAAACCTGTGTTGTTCAAGAGTCAACTCTACACAGTATTGTGGCATTACCACTGTTCCGACTGCTTTAAGTATATTATTTTATTTGAGCCTTTGCAGTAATCCCATAAGGCAACTACTTTTATCATCAACCATTTGCAGAAGAGTAATCTAAAGCAAAAGGTTAACCACTAACACTTAATGGTAGAGTCCTGATTCAAATCTCAAAAATCTAATTCCAGAACCCACATCAACAACAAATAATATATTATTTCTAATGTAGTAAGAAGTGATCATTTAGAAAATATGGAAAATACAGAAAAGTATAAAGCAAAAATTTGAACTGTCCATACTTACAGCACCCACATAAATCTACTGTTAACAGTTAAAATCTCATTCAAAACTTCCTTTTAAGTGAAGAAATAGAAAAAGAACTAACTACAAACACAGGCTTTTCACACCATTCTTTAAAGTATTTCATCCACCTAAATCAAATGATAAAATTTAAGGAGAACAAAATAAATTAACAAAAGTATTCAACACGGTGATGGTTAATATTAGCTGTTAACTTGAGTGAAGGACGCCTAGATAGCTGGTAAAGTATTGTTTCTGGGTGTGTCTTTGAGGGTGTTGCCAGAGGAGATTGACATTTGAGTCAGTGGACTGGGAGAGGAAAACCTGCCCTCAATGTGGGTGGGCACCATCCAACTGGCTGCCAGCGTGGCTAGAACAAAGCAGGCAAAAGAAGGTTAAATAACCTTGCTTGCTGAGTCTTCTGGCTTTCATCTTTCTCCCATACTGATTGCTTCCTTTGGTTCCTCCTGCCCTGAAACATCAGACTCCAGGTTCTTCAGCCTTTGGACTCTTGGATTTACACCAGTGGTTTGCCAGGGAACTCTCTGGCCTTTGACCACAGACTGAAGGCTGCACTGTTGGCTTCCCTGTTTTTGAGGCTTTTGGACTCGGACTGAGCCACTACTGGCTTCTTTCTTCCCCAGCTTGCAGACGGCCTATTGTAGGACTTTGCCTTGTGATTGTGTGAGCCAATTCTCCCTAATAAACTAACTCCCCTTCATATATACATATATCCTGTCAGGTCTGTCTCTCTGGAGAACACTGACTAATACAAATGGAAAGTCATTAATGTTGTCTTTGGAACCAGGAGGAAGATAATGAAATATCTCAAGAAAGCAGAAGAAATGGAAATACAACTAACATGGTAAATTATGCTGGCCGTCATGTTAGTGCAGACTTCTGGAAGTAGAAAGAAGTAATAATAGTTAAGTTCATAATATTAAGTTATATGGCTATGATTTCAACCCAGGAAGAACTCTGAGATCAACCATTTTTCTATGTGATAGAATGTCTGTATCAGTGTTCCTATCAGTGTGTTAGTAAAGAATCAGTCTTGGGATCAGGCCAGGGCCTCTCAAGTCAACATGTAATAACCTCAGAAACTAGGAAAAAAAAATGGTTGCCTTACTAGTTAAGTGATTTTTTAACCCAGAAAAATTTAAAGTAACAGAAATTATGATGTGAACCTATAATATTAATATTTTCATGTTAAGTTTAGAAAGACTCTGTATAGTTGATATTTAAATACTTAAGCCTTAAAAAATGTGGTATTGTAAGAATACTTAACAGACTAGGCTTTTATAAATCTATGTAAACGTGAATATCCAATTGGAATGGGATTTTTCTTGTTGTTGTTGTTGGAGACGAAGTCTCACCCTGTCACCCAGGCTGGAGTACAAAGGTGTGATTTCAACTCACAGCAACCTCCACTCCCCTCCCCGCCTGGGGTTCAAGTGATTCTCCTGCCTCAGCCTCCCAAGTAGCTGGGATTACAGGCGCGCACCACCATGCCCGGCTAATTTTTTGTATCTTTAGTAGAGACGGGGTTTCACCATGTTGGCCAGGCTGGTCTCAAACTTCTGACCTCGTGATCCACCTGACTTTTTAAGCTGAAAAGTAAAGGAAAATTTGCCTACACTATTAGAATACTTAAGATAACTTAAGAGTAACCATAATATATGAACTTCTAAAAATTAAGAGATATTTAAAAATTTGAGAAAGTATGCCAAAATATGAGCATAAAAATAAAACATATTAAATATATAAATTCCGTTTAAAATACAGGCACTGCTTGTTTTATAGGGTACCACATTAATAGATCTCAGCAACCACTGAACTGTGCAAAGTGATAAACATGGTTTCTATAAACATGAATTATTACCATGGTAATCTGCAAAGTGAGGAGTGCTTGTACTATAGGAAATTTAATTGTTTCAGTCCCTCCATTTAAGCGACTTAATTTGATTTGTATGTTGAATTTAGAATTCTAAGAAAGAACCGGGTTTATGAATTTGTTAAGGTTAATAAGTATTATTAAAACTGAAAGTAACCTCTGAATAATTTCTTTCTGTGTACAAAACTACTCCTGAGAACATTTTTTAAAGCTCATATTGATATAAATTGTCAAAACTATATTTAAACTCCCAAGCAAAAGCTGATTTTTAAAATGGTATTTCGCCTAAAAATACATTCTTCTACCTATAGTTGAATATGGTATGATTGATATTTTGAGCAGTGACTTTAAAAGAGTAAAAATATTACAAAGGAGGTGGATGGCAAGATGGCCGAATAGGAACAGATCCAGTCTGCAGCTCCCAGCGAGATCAACGCAGAAGGCGGGTGATTTCTGCATTTCCAACCGAGGTACCTGGCTCATCTCATTGGGACTGGTGAGATAGCGAGTGTAGCCAACAAAGGGTGAGCAGAAGCAGGGTGGGGCATCATCTCACCTAGGAAGCGTAAGGGGTTGAGGAACTCCCTCCTGTAGCCAAGGGAAGTTGTGAGGGACTGTGCTGTGAGGGATGGTGCCACCCAGCCCAGATACTACACTTTTCCCATGGTCTTTGCAACCCGCAGACCAGGAGATTCCCTCGGGTGCCTATACCACCAGGTCCCTGGGTTTCAAGCACAAAACTGGGTGGCCGTTTGGGCAGACACCAACCTAGCTGCAGGAGTTTTTTCTCATACCCTAGAGGCACCTGGAACACCAGTGAGACAGAACCGTTCACTCCCCTGGAAAGGGGGCTGAAGCCAGGGAGCCAGGTGGTCTAGCTCACTCAGTGGATCCCACCGCCATGGAGCCCAGCAAGCTAAGGTCCACTGGCTTGAATATTTGCTGCCAGCACAGCAGTCTGAAGTCAACCTGGGATGCTGGAGCTTAGTCGGGGCAGAGGCGTCTGCCATTATTGAGACTTGAGTAGGCGGTTTACCCCTCACAGTGTAAACAAACCCACCTGGAAGTTCAAACTGGGCAGAGCCCACCACAACATGGCAAAGTCACTGTGGCCAGACTGCCTCTCTAGATTACTCCTCTCTGAGCAGGGCATCTCTGAAAGAAAGGCAACAGCCCCAGTCAGGGGCTTATAGATAAAACTCCCATCTCCCTGGGACAGAGCACCTGGGGGAAGGGGTGGCTGTGAGCACAGCTTCAGCAGACTTAAACGTTCATGCCTGCCAGCTCTGAATAGAGCAGCAGATCTCCCAGCACAGTGCTCGAGCTCTGATAAGAGACAGACTGCCTCCTCAAGCGGGTCCCTGACCCCCGTGCCTCCTAACTGGGAGACACCTCCCAGCACGGGTCAACAGACATCTCATACAGGAGAGCTCTGGCTGGCATCTGGCGGGTGCCCCTCTGGGACGAACCTTCCAGAGGAAGGAACAGGCAGCAATCTTTGCTGTTCTGCAGCCTCCTCTGGTGATACCCAGGCAAACGGGGTCTGGAGTGGACCTCCAGCAAGCTCCAGAAGACCTGCAGCAGAGGGGCCTGTTAGAAGGAAAACTAACAATCAGAAAGGAATAGCATCAACAAGGACAATAAGGATGTCCACACAAAAACTCCATCTGAAGGTCACCAACACCAAAGGCCAAAGGTAGATAAATCCACAAAGATGAGGAAAAACCAGTGCAAAAAGTCTGAAAATTCCAAAAGCCAGACTGCCTCTTCTCCTCCAAAGGTCCACAGTTCCTCAAAAGCAAGGGAACAAAACTGGAAGGTGAATGAGTTTGATGAATTGACAGAAGTAGGCTTCAGATGGTGGGTAATAACAAACTCCTCTGAGCTAAAGGAGCATGTTCTAACCCAATGCAAGGAAGCTAAGAGCCTTGATAAAAGGTCAGAGGAATTGCTAACTAGAATAACCAGTTTAGAGAGGAACATAAATGACCTGATGGAGCTGAAAAACACAGCAGGAGAACTTCATGAAGCACACACAGTATCAATAGCCAAATCAATCAAGCAGAAGAAAGGATATCGGAGATTGAAGCTCAACTTAATGAAATAAAGCTTGGAGACAAGATTAGAGAAAAAAGAATGAAAAGGAACAAACAATGTCTCCAAGAAATATGACACTACATGAAAAGACCAAATCTATGTTTGATTGGTGTACCTGAAAGTGACAGGGAGAATGGAACCAAGTTGGAAAACACCCTTCAGGATATTATCCAGGAGGAATTCCCCAACCTAGCAAGGCAGGCCAACATTCAAATTCAGGAAATACAGAGAACACAAAGTTACTCCTCGAGAAAAGCAACCCCAAGACACATAATCGTCAGATTCACCAAGGTTGAAATGAAGGAAAAAATGTTAAAGGTAGCCAGAGAGAAAGGTTGGGTTACCCACAAAGGGAAGCCCATCAGACTAACAGCAGATCTCTCTGTAGAAACCCTGCTGGCTTGTAAGCCAGAAAACAGTGGAGGTCAATATTCAACATTCTTAAAGAATTTTCAACCCAGCATTTCATATCCAGCCAAGCTAAGCTTCATAAGTGAAGGAGAAATAAAACCCTTTATAGACAAGCAAATGCTGAGAGATTTTGTCACCACCAGGCCTGCCTTACAAGAGCTCCTGAAGGAAGCACTAAATATGGAAAGGAAAAACCGGTACCAGCCATTGCAAAAACATACTAAATTGTGAAGACCATTGACACTATGAAGAAACTGCACCAACTAACAGGCAAAATAACCAGCTAGCACCATAATGACAGGATCAAATACACACAAAACAATATTAACCTTAAATGTAAACAGGCTAAATACCCTAATTAAAAGACACAGATGGGCAAACTGGATAAAAGGTCAAGACCCATCAGTGTGCTGTATTCAGAAGACCCCTTCACGTGCAAAGACACACACAGGCTCAAAATAATGGTATGGAGGAATATTTACCAAGAAAATGGAAAGCAAAAAAAAAAGCAGGGGTTGCAATCCTTGTCTCCAATAAAACAGACTTTAAACCAACAAAGATCAAAAAAGACAAAGAAGGGCATCACATAATGGTAAAGGGATCAACCCAACAAGAAGAGCTAGCTTTCCTAAATATATATGCACCCAACACAGGAGCACCCAGATTCATAAAGCAAGTTCTTAGAAACATACAAAGAGATTCAGACTCCCACATAATAGTGGGAGAGTTTAACACCCCATTGTCAATATTAGACAGATCCACAAGACAGAAAATTAACAAGGATATTCGGAACTTCAACTCAGCTGTGGACCAAGTGGACCTAATAGACATCTACAGAATGCTCCACCCCAAATCAACAGAATATACATTCTTCTCAGCACCACATCACACTTATTCTAAAATTGACCACATAATTGGAAGTAAAATACTCCCCAGCAAATGCAAAAGAACAGAAATCATAATGAACAGACTCTCAGACCACAGTGCTATCAAATTAGAACTCAGGATTAAGAAACTCACTCAAAACCTTACAACTACATGGAAACTGAACAACCTGCTCCAGAGTGACTACTGGGTAAATAATGAAATTAAGGTAGAAATAAATGAGTTCTTTGAAACCAATGAGAACAAAGATACAATGTACCAGAATTTCTGGGACACAGCTAAAGCAGTGTTTCAGTGGAAATTCATAGCACTAAAATCTCCACAGGAGAAAGCGGGAAAGATCTAATATCGACACCCTAACATCACAATTAAAAGAACTAGAGAAGCAAGAGCAAATTCAAAAGCTAGCAGAAGACAAGAAATAACTAAGATCAGAGTAGAACTGAAGGAGACAGAGACATGAAAAACCCTTCAAAAAATCAATGACTCCAGGAGCTGGTTTTTTGAAAAGACTAACAAAATATATAGACCACTAGCCAGACTAATAAAGAAGAAAAGGGTAATCAAATAGACACAATAAAAAATTATACAGGGGATATCACTACTGATCCCACAGAAATACAAACTACCATCAGAGAATACTATAAACAACTCTACGCAAATAAACTAGAAAATCTAGAAGAAATGGATAAATTCCTGGACACATACACCCTCCCAAGACTTAAACCAGGAAGAAGTCGAATCTCTGAACCAGACCAATAACAAGTTCTGAAATTGAGGCAGTAATTAATAGCCTAACAACCAAAAAAAGCCCAGGACCAGACAGGTTGACAGCCGAATTCTACCAGAGGCACAAAGAGGAGATGGTATCATTCCTTCTGAAACTACTCCGATCAATGGAAAAAGAGAGTCTCCTCCCTAACTCATTTTTTGAGGCCATCATCATCCTGATATGATACCAGAGCCTGAGAGAGACACAAGAAAAAAGAGAGAATTTTAGGCCAATAACCCTGATGAACATTGATGCGAAAATCCTCAATAAAATCCTGGCAAACCGAATCTAGCAGCACATCAAAAAGCTTATCCAACACAATCAAGTCGGCTTCATCCCTGGGATGCAAGGCTGGTTTAACATACGCAAATCAATAAACGTAATCCATCACATAAACAGAACCAGTCACAAAAACCACATGATTATTTCAATAGATGCAGAAAAGGCCTTTGATAAAATTCAACACCCCTTCACACTAAAAACTCTCAGTAAACTACGTATAGATGGAACATATCTCAAAATAATAAGAGCTATTTATGACAAAACCATAGCCAATATCATACTGAATGGGCAAAAGCTGGAAGCATTCCCTTTGAAAACTGGCACAAGACAAGGATGCCCTCTCTCACCACTCCTATTCAACACAGTATTGGAAGTTCTGGCCAGGGCAATCAGGCAAGAGAAAGAAATAAACTGTATTCATAGAGGAAGAGAGAAAGTCAAACTGTCTCTGTTTGCAGATGACATGATTGTATATTTAGAAAACTCCATAGTCTCAGCCCAAAATCTCCTGAAGCTGATAAGTAACTTCAGCAAAGTCTCAGGATACAAAACCAATGTGCAAAAGTCACAAGCATTCCTATACACCAATAATAGACAAACGGAGAGCCAAATTAGGAGTGAACTCCCATTCACAATTGCTACAAAGAGAATAAAATACCTAGGAATACAACTTACAAGGGATGTGAAGGGCCTCTTCAAGGAGAATTACAAACTACTGCTCAAGGAAATAAGACAGAACACAAACAAATGGAAAAACATTCCATGCTCATGGATAGGAAGAATCAGTATCGTGAAAATGGCCACACTGTCCAACGTAATTTATAGATTCAATGTTATCCCCATCAAGCTACCATTGACTTTCTTCACAGAATTACAAAAAAGTACTTTAAACTTCATATGGAACCAAAAAAGAGCCTGTACAGCCAAGACAATCCTAAACAAAAGGAATAAAGCTGAAGGCATCACAATACCTGACTTCAAACTATACTATAAGGCTAGAGTAACCCAAACAGCATGGTACTGGTGCCAAAACAGGTATACACACCAAGGGAACAGGACAGAGGCCTCAGAAATAATGCCACACATCTACAACCATCTGACCTTTGGTAAATCTGACAAAAACAAGAAATGGGGAAAAGATCCCTGTTTAATAGATGTTGGGAAAACTGGCTAGCCATATGCAGAAAACTGAAAGCGGACCCCTTCCTTACACCTTATACAAAAATTAAGTCAAGATGGATTAAAGAGTTAAACGTAAGACCCAAAACCATAAAAACCCTAGAAGAAAACCTAGGCAATACCATTCAGGACATAGGCATGGGCAAAGACTACATGACTAAAACACCAAAAGCAATTGCAACAAAAGCCAAAATTGACAAATGGGATCTAATTAAACTAAAGAGTTTCTGAACAGCAAAAGAAACTATCATCAGAGTGAACAGGCAACCTACAGAATGGGAGAAAATTTTTGCAATCTAGCCATCTGACAAAGGGCTAATATCCAGAATCTACAAGGAACTTAAACAAATTTACAAGGAAAAAGCAAACAATCCCATCAAAAAGTGGGCAAAGGATATAAACAGAAACTTCTCAAAAGAAGACATTTATGCAGTCAACGCACATATGAAGAAAACCTCATCATCACTGGTCATTATGGAAATGCAAATCAAAACCACAATGAGATACCATCTCATTCAGTTAGAATGGCGATCATTAAAAAGTCAGGAAACAACAGATGCTGGCGAGGATGTGAAGAAACAGGAACGCTTTTACACTGTTGGTGGGAGTGTAAATTAGTTCAACCACTGTGGAAGACAGTGTGGTGATTCCTCAAGGATCTAGAACCAGAAATACCATTTGACCTAGCAACCCCATTACTGGGTATATACCCAAAGGATTACGAATCATTCTACTATAAAGACACATGCACACATATGTTTACTGCAGCACCGTTCACAATAGCAAAGACTTGGAACCAACCCAAATGCCCATCAGTGATAGAGTAGATAAAGAAAATGTGGCACACATACACCATGGAATACTATGCAGCCATAAAAAGGATGAGTTCCTGTCCTTTGCAGGGACATGGATGAAGCTGGAAACCATCACTCTCAGCAAACGAACACGGGAACAGAAAACCAAACACTGCATGTTCTCATTCATAAGTGGGAGTTGCACAATGAGAACACATGGACACAGGGAGGGGAACATCACACACCGGGACTTGTCAGGGGGTGGAGGGCTAGGGGAGGGATAGCATTAGAAGATAATGCTGTCCTACATCTACCTAATGTAGATGACGGGTTGATGGGTGCAGGAAACCACCATGGCATGTGTATACCTATGTAACAAACCTACACCTTCTACATATGTATCTCAGAACTTAAAGTACAATAAAAATATATATATATTACAAAGCTTTTCCTCACAGGAGAATTTCAACTATTAAATATTGAGGTATGATAGAAAAAAACCCCACCATTTGGTAAACACCATAAATATTAATAATTCTTTTAGGTAAGAATGATCAATAGATATTAAGATGAATTAACAAATATATGACTAGAAAAAGTATATTTACATAGTCTCAAATATTCCCCATAAAAATACTAGCACCATGGGAAAATGAAACTTTATGGTGCATAAACCTGTTGGACTCAAACTTAACCAAGTGATCATCACAAATATCACAAGTAGTGGAACAAATGGACATCATATACCTCCTGATATGATGCACTATGGACATAACATTATTTCTGTGGTATTCTTGCCCAAAATGCACAATCTAAATCATTAAGAAGTATCAAACAAACCCAAATTGGGGAATATCAAAATAACTGGCTAGTACTCATCAAAAGGATCAGTATATGAAAGACATGAATGAAAGACAAAGTTAAAGAATTGTTACACAGTAAAGGAGATTAAGAAGACATGGCAGCTAAATGGAATGTGTGAATTACATCCAGAATGAGAAAAAGGACATTTGAATGGGACAAGTGGCAAATTGTAAACAAGGCCTACAGATTATATAGTAGTGTATCAATGTTAATTTCTTGGGTTAATAGCTGTACTGTGGTTAATGTTAAATTTGGGGAGTCTCTCCACCATGTCCAATTCCTTCCTGAAAACCAACCATTCTACATTAGGACATGATGAATTTACCTTAAATCAAAGAAAAAGACCAACATAACCTGAGTTTTTCTCTTAAACCTACATTGAAGGGAAGAAAATAAATTTTAAGTCACTTCCAGCTCCAAAACTCTGACTTTAAGCACTTGAGTTCTAAACTACTTCCTTCACTACTGTGAAGTAACTAAGAAAAGCGTGTCTACTATATTCTAGACCATTTGCTGATTGTTTATATAAATTAGTTCTAATTCTTACAACAATGCTGGTGAGATAAGTATGAATATCAGCACTTACAAAAAAGAAAACTGGGGACAGATGAGGTTAAGTAATTGCCTAAAGTTATATAACTGTTATGTGACAGAGCCAAGATTCAAATCCATACTACCTGACTCTAACACCCTGACACTCTAAACCTGACGCCATGATGCCTCCTAAAAGAACTGCTAAGACATCAATGAAACATGTAAATTAGAAAAGCAGTTATCATCAAATTTGATACCAGGATTTGTCACAAATAGCAATGTAAATAACTGAGAATTATTATATTTGCAATTGCTGGAAATCAGACTTCTCAAGCATGAAAATAACACAGGAAAATAATTTTAGGAATCCTGCACAACTCTAACAATCTGACCCAAACTATTTTAAAAAAACTGGGGGTTGCCCAAAAATACATGAGAAACAAATCTTACTGAAAACAGAAAGTTTTAAATAACCTGGTAATACAGTATAATGTAGGAGGCAGAATTTTCCTAAAATGATCCTGGGCATTCACTTGAGTGCCTGGAAAATAAGCTCGCTAGGCCAGGAATCCCTCTTGCTCCAGCAGGAGGAACTGCACCAGAAACTCATCTTCCTCTGGGACCAAGAGTTGGTTCATCTCCAACAGGAGAGTTGCAAATTCCCACAATTTCCAAGTGCTGGACAGTCGGTTTTCCTAGGCAATTTTAAAAAACAGGTGGTACCCAAACCTACATAGCCCAAGGCTTAAACAGTGTATCTGTCACCCCACCACCAAGTGTGCTTTCAGGCCTACCATCATGATAGATGAGAACCATAATTGGGTGGGCCTTCATCGGCACACCACTGTATATTCAGTCGGTCAGAAGTACCTACCTCGCCATAATTTGCCAGGTGATGCTGGGAAGATCAGAGACCTTTCCTCACTTAAGTATTCTTGGCTTATAAATTTCCCCAATGAAGACTATTTCTTATCACATAAATGTGTCATATAAAATTCATTCCAAGCCATCAAACAACATATAGGATAAAAAGATTCAAAAATGCTTCTAACAATGAGAAAGTCAGAAAGATTAAAAAAAAACATATTTACTTCAGTTTGTGTACTAACAAAATAATATTTTATATGCCTTTCTTACAAATATATGCTTTAGTGATAATGTTAGCTAAAAACCACTGAAATGTTAATCATTTAGTCATGGGTTTCACATGAAATATCTTTTTTTAACGCTCACACCTACTCTGTGAATTGGTGTTATTATTATTATCCCTGTTTTGTGGATGAGGAAAGTTAGGGTCAAAGAGGTTAAATAACTTGCCAAAATTACATAGTATATGGCAGAGCTAAATGGTTTTAACCACTACAAGATAATAGATAGCTTTAATTCACAGGTCTTTCTAACAACCTCTTGTCTGTAGGCAACATGTTGAAACAAGCATGTAAAGTTAAAAAAAAAATTAAGGTCTATAAAGAATAAATAACTTGCTCAACATCATACTAAATGAGCATTAGCAGCCATGAATAAAATAATTCCTCAAAAGGTAGTTTAACAGTACTGTAATAATAACAAATATTATATATGGAGCTCCAGTTTAAATATACATTCTAACAACATGGTCAGAACGTATCTTTCTAAACCTAAAGAAAGTTTAGCTGTTAGTTCTCAATTTTGTTGTTTTTTTAATCTAGCTACAACTGAATAAGACTGATGCTCTGATTACTGTTACATGTGGTACAGAAAACTGTAACAGAGATTTGGAATTATCCAGTGAATTTATATGCCTCCATTATCAGCTTGGCATAATAAACTAATTAAGGACAATACAACTGCTTATAAATAACTCAACCCAACATTAATATTTAATAAACTTCTATTCTCATCCTGTAAATATTTTAACACTTCCAATAACAATATGCTACAACAGAAAGGACTCCTTAAAAAGCTAGCTATTAACTCTAGCATATATGGCATACATAGCAGTTAATATCACACTAAAATGGTATATATCAATAAAAAAAAGTCCACCCCTTTTTTCCAAACTTACAAGGAATTTTTAAAAAGAAACAAAAGAAAACAAAAACTGATCATTCGTTTGGGTAGCTGGTGTAAATTCTGTGGACTACCAATGTAAATTCAGTACTGGTGGAATAGCGGTGTAAATTCCATAACGAATTTATTAATAATGCCTTCTCCCAGATTTTATACAGATACAAAGTCATATTTGGGACAACATATGCATACCTTAGAGACACTAACTCTCTGCATTAAAATATATGCTTCCAGTTATATGAATGGTATCACTTTGATATTTAAAATATCAAAATTATAAGCATAGGTTTAATAGTTACATATTGAGTTTTCTTGATCTGTTCTCTAAAAGAATATGCAAGACCAAGAGGTTTTGATGTAAACTCTCTTGGTTTATAATTTTCCACTTTTACTTTTTACATTAAAATTGCCTTTCTAAAAACTAGAGGATGAACAAATTAAGAAAATCAGTTCTCTCTGAATAGCTATTTGATGAAACAGAAGCAGAAATAATAAGCTATGCACTTCCATCTTTGTTTATTCAACTGATGTTTTTTAAAGTGACTGACTCATGTGTGCTCAGTACACTCCCTCTTCAGTATTTAATGAACTGTGGTAATTGAAGGGGAAAGATCACAACCACAGAACTTCCAACATGTTCCTGATAGTGACAGACATAGTACCTATAAGGTGAATTACAGAAATCTTCTTTTTTGTGACACAATACATCAGCATGTGGTAACTCAGGGGTATTGTAAAAACAGCTCTAGCCTACTTTAGTAATCGGAAAATGACAAAGTCCTCCTGAAATCCTTTCTTCTGTATGTTATCTAATATCAAAACAAGTGATCAACGTGTGAAGCATGGATAAAAAATTTTGCAAAACACAAAAGATAGTTTCTACTTTCCACGAGTACATGACAGAATTTACTTTGGATATGATATATTAATACCATGTTTGTTCTTTGAAAACTCCCCATCTAATCCCCTTTGGAGATAGAACTACTTTCTCATAAGAAGATCAACAACAGCATCAAAATAATAATCAATGGTGATGACTTAATCTCAGGACGCAAGCATAAAATACTTCTGATTTACCTCTAGGAAAAGACACATTTGTTTTGGTCTTTCTTAATAGCAACATTTCTCTTCAATAAGAGACTAAATTTGAAATGGTACACTTTCTCCTGTTTTTCTTCCTGTAATTCTAGTGGCTAGGCTCAGGTAAATAAAAACAGTGTTTTGGAACATAGTGTGCATGTCTACCACTCTCTTCAGTCATGGGAAACAGAGAAATAGAAAGCATGGTTCTATATTAATTTTTTTTCTGTAAAAATATAATGCTCTCTTGACATAATGATAAAATGAATTAACTACTCCCCTAGGTGGGATAAACTAAGAAATGTAAGAATAAACAAAGTTACAAGGCAATGCAATATATAGTCCTGATCAACCCTTCAATGTCATCAAAAGTAAGATTTGGCTTCTTTTTCTTTACTAGAAAAGCCTTGAGAAAGCAAAACATAACTCAGCAGTGTTTCTCAAGTAGGCCCCAGGAGGAAAGTGAACATATACCCAAGGGATCTTGGGGCACCTTTACCTCAAGCTCAAAATTTCTTTCAAGTCTCCACTTAGAGCTTTAAATATTATGAAAAATTTGTATTCTACCTCATAATATATACATGTTTACGTTCATTTCCTCACTGCCGCCAATCTTCAAAACAAAGAAGAAACATATACCAGGAATATGTGCCATGATTACCTTGTGGTTTCATGTAACTTTGATACCCAGCTCCTCCCAAAAACCCAGTTTAAGAATTACAGATTTAAGAGTAATATGGCATACAAATAGATCAATTTATCATTTATCTCCTTTTTTATTTTATTAACAATGTTTTTATTTCTATTTTTTTTGAGACAGGGTCTCACTCTGTTACCTGGGCTGGAGTGAGTGGCACAATCTCAGCTCACTACAAGCCATCCTCCCTGGCTCCCGCCTCAGCCTCCCAAGTGATTGGGACGACAGGTGCAGAACAGCATGCCTGTCTAATTTTTGTAGAGATGGGGTTGCCCAGGCTGGTCTCGAACTCCTGGGCTCAAGTGATCTGCTCAGCTTAGCCTTCCAAAGTGCTAGGATTACAGGTGTGAACTACCACACCTGGCCACAATGTTTTTATTTTTAAAGCCTTAGCCACAGTGCTAAGAATTTGTTACCTAAGTTGTCTGCTTGGGTTAATTTCTTGTCTATTCTGTAACGCCAACTAGAGCTCAAACCATGCCACCTTCTTGCTAACTTCAAAAGCCAATTTTATCTGTGCACTGGGAAGCAAGGTGCTAGAAGTGCTAGATATTTTAGGAGAGAGGAGACTGTATGAGTAGTCATCTAGAGGTATGGGAGAGTAAATGGACCGGGGAAACAGAAAATGATTCTTGCGTAGCATAAAGGACTCAATGAGCTAAGGGATCATTAATTTAAAGTGAGACTGGTAAATATGGTTACTTTTTTTTTTCCTCTAGGTATGTTCAGATGTATGGGTGTGGGCAAGGAGTTCAGTGTACACAAGGCTATATCACTACCATGATTATGAAATTTAAGCTGGATAAGGAAAGTAAGACATCAGTAAAATCAGAGTGAAAAAAATGATGGATTTTTAAAACTGAGGGTTGCAATAGGTCTAACGACTTCAAAACTGTGAAATTGAGATTATGGAGGGGTTACAGTTTAGACAAAGATAAAATCTAGAAATGGGTACATAGTGAGATGGAGTGGAGGGCAAAATTTATTGGAAGAGAGGAGTTCCAGATTTTGAAGACACCAGGATATTGGGAGAATTATACATATGAACAATGGAATCACCAAGAATTACAAAACAAGCAGTACTGGAATGAATGCCAGGGAACCAAGAACCAAAATCTATTAGGAGACAATTTTAGATGGATCTTGTGTTTCCACACGTATTGTGAGCAGAGGCATTGACTGTCTTTGTTCTGGGCTATCTTTTTAAGCATGCTTGTATATCAAACAGCCCTGGAAAATAGACAGTGTCTTCTTCCACAGCAAAGGATAGGTTTCCTTACACTCTTGGAAGAGACAGTCTTCCTTCCAAACAAGGGCAGACATGCTTAGTATCCATTATAAAAGATTCCAGTTCCCTAAACTTGGCGTTCCTCATCTGTCATTTAATCCACTGTGTGTGCAGGTATCATCTGGACCTCTTCATATCACCCTTTGGGAATTAGAGAATTCGTGCAAGCAAATGCTGTCACTTTAGCTAATGTTTTTGCTATTAGTAATAAGGTCCTTTGTCTCTGGCCCAGAAATCTCCTGCCTTCTGCCAGCATCCATGAAATTATGGCAGGTTAACTTCTTAGTTTGCAAGTAGAGCAAATCTCAGACCCTTCACAATTCTTAACAAAATCTCCAATGAAGGAGAGATGGAGATGAGTGATGACTATAACTAAATGGATAGAAGGTGGTATAGTCTGATAACATAAGATAAAATTTGGAGGTGTTTGAGAAGAAAGAATGGTCTGGAAAATGCAATGAGAAGCTAAGATTACACCTCCAGGCTCAAAGGCAGAAAGAAGCAGGAGAGAAAATGGCCACTACTTCAAAGGGTTGCACGTAGTATCATCAGGGAAGCAAGATTTAATTTAGAGCAAAATGTAAAGTAATATTAACAGAAGAGGCTGAAGATAAAAAGAAATTTGCTGATGACTGACCTTGAGTTCCAGGGACATTATGAAAGATTTTCAGGAGACAGGGAGAGGTAGGGTTTAGGGTTAGTTTTGGATACATGTGTTAAGAAACCCACGAGTCTTAAGCTCCTTGCTGTAACTTACATGAGCAAGATAAAATGTCATGATTAAACTAGTTATGATAGTTTTAATCAGATCAAATGTTTGCTTGTTTCTATGTCCTCTGACCTCTTTTACCAACACAATATCTATTATGAAATGCTTTATTTCTTACTAACATCATTTTAGAAAATTTAGAATATATAAGTTTTTAAAAATTTAAATGTCAAACTGTTATTTAAGATAGTAAGAAGCAAGTGTTAACTTACTTGAATTAGATCTAAAATGCCAAGTTCACTTTCTGAAGAATCCACACAGAAGACAAAATATAACGTTGCATAATGTCTATAAATCAGTTTGTTGTCAGATCCTCCAATTAATCTAAATGACAAAAAAATTGTAATGTTATTGGAAACAAAATGCGAATCATTTTCATTAGCTCAAGCAAACTGACAATTTGTTTAAAAACCACTTGTCAAATGAAAGGTGACATTCAATGGCAAAGTATTTAAGTGAACTTATTCAGAGACTAGGTGAATTAAGGTGGCTGTTTTCTTCAGAAACATCAAGTAAAAGAAGCCAGTGCTTAATTTCAGTTCATTCATTCATTAAACTATTCTCTGAGTAACTACTATGTGCCAAGCACTGGTAGTGGGGAAGAAGCAACAAACACACACATCAGAACATCATCAGATAGTGGCAAGTGTTACACTGACAATCAAAATACAATGATGATATATTGATGGGTTCCCTACTTCAGGCTGAATATTAAGCAAGAGTGGCATTTAAGCTGAGATCTAATGATAAGGAGTTGGCTTGGAAAAAATTTAGAGAAGAGCATTTCAGGCTAAGGTAGTAAGTACTAAAAGGACATTTCATCAAGAACAAAGTATGTATGTTCAGGGAAGAGAAAAAAGGCCAGTAGATAAGAAAAGATTAGTAAATGATAAAGTCAGAGAAGTAGGCGGAAATTAGATCATGGGGCATTTGTAAGTGCTTACTAGATTTAACTCCATACGTCACAGTAAGTTACACAGCTTAAGACTGATTATCAACCAGAAAAAAAAGAAGAATGACACTTCTTAAGTTTTGGATAGATTTACCGTCAAGATCTCTTCCAAAATTACATTGTTTTGACATAAATGCAAGAAAACTGAGCTAAGATACTAAACTCTTTCATGAAATACTTTTATTTATAATGACTGGAATTTTAGTATTTTAGAAATAATAATTTAGGAATCATTCCAAACATATTTTTCTAAATATAGTTTAGCTATTTCATAGTTAAGTTTACAATAATGAATTCACCTTCTTAAAAGACCCCTAAACACTTACATAATTTACAATCAAGGCTATATGTAACCAAAATTAAACTAACATCCATCCCAACAGAATATGGGAAAATGGCATCTCTCCCTCCCTCCCTCCCTCCCTCCCTCCCTCCCTTCCTTCCTTCCTTCCCTCCCTCCCTCCCTTCATCCTCTCTTTCTCTGTCTCTCTCTCTCTCTTTCTTTTTGAGACAGAGTTTCACTCTGTCACCCAGGCTGGAGTGCAATGGTGCTATCTCAGCTCACTGCAGCCTCTGCCTCCTGGCTTCAAGCAATTCTCCTGCCTCAGCCACCAAAGTAGCTGCAATTACAGGCGCACACCACCACACCTGGCTGATTTTTGTACTTTTAGTAGAGATGGGGTTTCACCATGTTGCCCAGGCTGGTCTCGAACTCCTGAGCTCAGGAGATCTGCACGCCTAGGCCTCCCAAAATGCTAGGATTACAGGCGTGAGCCACTGCGCCTGGCCAGCATCTATTTCTTACACAGTAAAAATAATACTAAACTTATAAGTTCTGTAGAAACAACTTCCCAAGGTATATACTACTTCTATGTCTTCTAATAGCAAAAGGAGAAATGATCTTTGACAAGAATAAAAATTTCCTACTATGCTAGATACTCTTCTAGAGAAGATGTTTAATTTAAAAATATCTACATGCAATTTAAAGATTCTGAGAGTATATTTACAGACTATGACTGCAATTGTTCCCTGAAAGAGGCAAAAAGAACACAAATAGGAGGCTTTACTCCATTCTGAATCAGCGATTTAGTGATTATCTTAAAACTTTTGCTTTACTTTAAAAGGACAGCAAACTTCTGAAGAATATAAGTTTCAAAAAGGCCAGTAATGCTATTAAAAGCAAGCAAAATATTAATGCGGCAAGTACATATTTTGCCTTTAAAAATATAATCTTATCTTTAAGCTATAGTATAATACTGACAAAAATTCCTGTACAGAATGTAATACATCATATAAAACCACAGGACTGAGAAATCCTGTTAGTCCAAATAACTCATTTTATAGAGGAGAAAACTGAGGCCTGAGAATTTAAGTAACCTGTCCAAGGAAATCAGCTAGTTAGTGACAAAACTAGGATTAAACTAGATGTGAGGCCTCATCTCTGCTGCAATATTTGCTTTCTATTTTTTGTAAGGTTAAAAAAGAACAATCACAATTTCCAGCCACAATTTCTAATTCAAATAGCACCCTAGTAAGATTAATCAAGTTCTTACATGCAGTGCACTGTGCTGGGTGGTAAGTTTCCTAGGAGATAAGAAATCAAGAGGCTAGGATGAGAGGAAGTGATAGTAATGTCAAAGACAACTAAAATTAAATAAGTACAAGTAAAATTCAAAAACAGAAGCAGGTACACTTGTCTCAATTATTAAATTAGAAGCCTTGAGTTAACAGCAAAATTTGTAAGTATGTATTGGACATTTAAGGACAGCATGATATAATCTTTCAGGAAACCCAAGTTAAGTGTTCCACATGATAAAAAGTACCTTATGACCATGGATTCCCTGTTATCCAGAGTATTTCTCATCCATCATACACAGTAAAATACAGAAAATTCTAAGTTTCTCTGACTGATTTATGTTTGAGAACAAACCATTTTCATGGAAGTTATTAGTTTAAAAGTATTTGTTTGTAATATTTGGCAATATTCTTATTCATTTTAAAAATAG